>NC_000006.12:62913412-63216442 GCF_000001405.40 Homo sapiens
AACATACACAGTATGCCACAAACTTCATTTTTTATGGTGTGAATACATAATCTACTCTCAGCAATTTTCAAGAACACAATACACTGTTATTAACTATAGTTAAATTACCTCCCACCAGGTCCCTCCCATGACATGTGGGGATTATGGGAACTACCGTTCAAGATGAGATTTGTGTGGGGACATAGCTAAACCATATCAGCCTGGCTTATTTCACTTAACATAATGTCCTCTAGGTTCATCCATGTTGTTGCAAATGACAGAATTTCCTCCTTCTTTATGGCTGGATGGTATTCCATTGCTTGTATATATCACATTTTCTTTATCCTTTCATCTGTTGATGAACACAGATTGATTCCATCTTGGCTATTGTGAATAATGCTGCAATGACCATGAGAATTTAGACATATCTCAGAGTTACTGATTTCATATCTTTTGAATATATACCCAGTAGTAGGACTTCTGAATCATATGGCAGTTCTATTTTTAGTTTTTTGAGGAATCACCATACTGTTTTTCATAATGGCTGTACTAATTTACATTCCCGCCAATACTTTGCAAGTATTCCCTTTACTCTAAATTATCTCTTGTACTGATCATTCATTCAGTTTATAGATTTTTCACCTCGTGGTCAAATGTATTCCTAGATATTTTCATTATTTTTGTAGCCATTGTAAATAAGATTGTTTTCCTGATTATTTATTTTTCAGGTAGTTTCTTATTAGTGAATAAAAATTTCAGTGACTTCTGTATGTTGATTTCATACTTTGCAACTTTACTGAAATTATTAGTTCTAACAGTTTTTTTGGTAGAGTTGTTAGAGTTTATATGCAAGATCATGTTATCTGGAAACAGGCAATTTAACTCATTTTTCTCTTTCTTCTTTTCTAATATTTGCTTTGAATGTAATTAATTTCCTTTAAATCCTGATTTAGTTTCATCCTACAAATTTTGATATGCTTGTTATTATGATGTTAAAATAGTTTTTATTTCCATTGTGATTACTTTTTGATGCATTGGATTTTCAGAAGTATATTGCTTAATTTCTATATTTATGAAGATTTTCTAGTTACAGTCCATCCTACTTATTTATGAATCCTATATTTGCAAATTTGCTTACTCACAAAAATTTATTTGTAGCCCCAAAATCAATACTCATGGCACTGCCACTGGCAGATGTGCAAAGAGTGGGGAAGAATTTGAGTCTATTTGATGATGCACATGTTCCCGCTGAGGTAAAACAAGGCAACACCCTGCATTCTTGTTTCAGCTGTCTTACAAATGTGATGAGAGGATCGAGATGATGAGAACAGTGCAGTGTAGTGCCAGAAGTTCTGACTATGGGGCAGCTGGACAGCGTTTAAATCCCAATTCTGGCATCTATGAGGGAGTAGGGTAGCCTCGGGCAAGTTGCTTAACAGTTTGAGCCTTATTTTCTTTTTATAAGAATAAAGAAAGTAAAGTCTTTGTAATTTAAGAGTACAGTTTATGTGATATGTATTTATATGTACATATTTCCCCCAGAAGCAATAATTAAATATTCATTAATTCAATATTCACAGAGACTTTTCAGAATGAAACTATTGCAAATGTGGAGAATTCAGTGGGTTTTTTAAAAGAAACTTCTACTTAATTCACTCATGTTCCCAATTCTTTTAATTTTACAGAGGCCAGTTTAATGGCCCAGTATATGTCTATACTGGTAAACACTTCAAATGCACACTTGTTGGGTGACTCGTATGTTTTATAAGTTGAATTGTATCTCCAAAAGTTTCTATGTTGAAGTCCTAACCCTCAATACCTCAAAATGTGACCTTATTTGGAAATAGGGTTATTGAAGACATAATTCATTATATTAAGATTAGGTCATAGCAGAGTAGGATGGGCTCCTAATCCAAATGACTAGTATTGTTATAAAAAGAGCGCCACTCAAAGGAACACACTTTAAAATAGTAAGAGCTATCTATGATAAACCCACAGCCAACATCATACTGAATGAGCAGAAGCTGGAAGCAATAAATAAAAGACATCCAAAGAGGAAGAGGAGAAATCAAATTATCTCTCTTTGTTGATGATAGGATCTTATCTCTAGAAAACCCTATAGACTTCACCAAGAAGATCCTAGAACTGAAAAATAACTTCGATAAAGTATTAGAGTACAAAATCAATGTACAGAAATCATTAACATTTTTATACATGAATAGCATTCAAACTGGGAGCCAAATCAAGAACACAATACAATTTACAATAGTCAGAGAAAAAAATACCCAGAAATACATCTAACCAAGGAGGTGAACAATTTCTACATTAAGACTTAGAAATCACTGTAGAAATAAATCATAGATGACAGAAACAAATGAAAAAGCATTCCATGCTCATGTATTGGAAGAATCAACATCACTAAGATGACCATACTGCTTAAAGCAATCTACAGATTCAATGCCAGTTCTATCAAATTACCGACATTATTTTTCACAGAATGAAAAAAAAAAAAAACTCTTCTAAAATTCACAAGGAACCAAAAAAGAGCCAGTTTAGCCAAAGCAATCCTAAGCAAAAAGAATGAAACCAGAGGCATCACATTACCCAACTTCAAACTATACTATAAGGCAACAGTAAACATAACAGCATGGTACTGGTACAAAAATAGACAAATATGCAGCCACAAAAAGGAATGAGATCATGTCCTTTGCAGGGATATGGATAGAGTTGGAAGCCATTATCCTCAGGAAACTAAGGCAGAAACAGAAGACCAAGCACTGGTCTCACTTATAGGTGGGAGTTGAACGATGAGAACACATGGACACTTGGCGGGGAACAACACACACTGAAGCTTGTTAGAAGGGGGAGTGAGGGGAGGGAGAGCATCAGGAAGAATAGCTAATGGGTGCTGCTCTTAATACCTAAGTGATTGGAAGATCTGTGTAGCAAACCACTATGGCACACATTTACCTATGTAACAAACCTGCCTATCCTGCACATGTACCCCTGGACTTAAAATAAAAGTTGAAGAAGAAAAAAGACAAATAGACCAATGAAACAGAATAGAGAACTCAGAAATAAAGCCACACATTTATGGCCATCTGATCTTCAACAAAGTCAACAAAAATAAGCAATGAGAAAAGGATTCTCTGTTCAATAAATAGTGCCGGGGTAGCTGTTTAGTTATGCAAAAGAATGGAAGTGGACCCCTATTTTTCACCACCTACAAATTAGCTCAAGATGGATTAAAGATCTACATATAAGACTAAAACTATAAGAATCTTAGAAAACAACCTAGGAAATACCATTCTCGAAATCAGCCCTGTGAAAGAATTTATGTCTTAGTTCTGAAAAGCAATGGCAAAAAAAATAAAAATACTTAAGTGAAACCTAAAAACCTAAAGAGTTTCTGCACAGCAAAGGAAACCATCAACAGAGTAAACAG
The DNA here is from genome assembly GCF_000001405.40 of Homo sapiens. Lineage (NCBI taxonomy): Eukaryota > Metazoa > Chordata > Mammalia > Primates > Hominidae > Homo > Homo sapiens. Next base: position 62,916,837 of record NC_000006.12, read on the forward strand.
CCAATGGAATGGGAGAAAATATTCATAAACTATGGGTCTGACAAAGATCTAATATCCAGAATCTATAAGAAACTTAAATAATTAAACAAGCACAAAACAAACAACCCCATTAAAAAAATGGGCAAATGGCTGGGCTCATGCCTGTAATCCCAGCACTTTGGGAGGCCGAAGCAGGTGCCACTTGTTGACTAGCTGGGCAGCATGGCAAAGCCCCATCTCTACCAAAAATACAAAAATTAGCCAGGCATGGTGGTGGGTGCCTGAAATCCCAGTTACTTGGGAGGCTGAGGCAGAAGAATTGCTTGAACCTTGGAGGCAGAGGTTTCAGTGAGCCAATGTCGCATTACTGCACTCTAGCCTGGGCAACACAGCAAGACTCCATCTCAAAAAAAAATGGGCAAAGAACATGAACAGACACATTTCAAAAGAAGACATACATGCAGCCAACAATCATAGCTATTACTGAAAAGTCAAAAAATGTCAGATATTGGCGAGACTGCAGAGAAAAGGGAACACTTCATACACTGTTGGTAGGAATGTAAATTAGTTCAAACACTGTGGAAAGCCATTTAGAGATTTCTCACATAACTCAAAACAGAACTATCATTGGATTTAGCAGTCTCATTACTGGATATATATCCAAAGGAAAATAAATTGTCCTACCGTAAAGACACATGCACATATATGTTCACTGCAGAACTATTCACAATAGCAAAGACATGGAATCAACCTAGATGCCCATCAATGATGGGTTGAATAAATAAAATATGGTACATATACATCATTTACTATGCAGCCATAAAAATGAACAAAAGCATGTTCTTTGCAGCAATGTGGATGCAACTGAAGGCCATTATCCTAAGCAAATTAATGCAGGAACAGAAAATCAAATACCACATGTTCTTATTTACAAGTGGGAGATAACATTGGGTACACACGGATATAAAAATGGAAACAGTATATATTTGGGACTATCAAAGTGGGGAGAGAAGGAGTGAGGCAAGGGCTGAAAACATTGGGTACTATATTTACTATCTGGGTGACGGGATTTTTTTATACTCCAAACCTCAGCATCACAATATGCCCATTAACAAACATGTACATGTACCCCTGAAACTAAAAGTTAAAATTATATAAAATTGTGAAAAATAAAATGAAATAAAATAGAAAAAAAATACCACATGAAGTCACAAACACAGGGAGAATATCATATGAAGCTTCAACTTATAATGCCACAAGCCAGGTAACTACCAGAAGGTAGAATAGAGGCCTAGAACAGATATTTTCCTAGTGCCTTCTGAAGGAGTGTGGCTCTGGTAACAATTTGGTTTCAGACTACCAGTCTCTAGAACTGTTAGACAATAAATTTCTGTTTCAGCTACCCAGTTAGTTTGTGGTACTTTGTTACAACAGACTAAGGAAGTCAATACGATGCGTTCGTAGCAATTAAAACAAATTTGTTACTTCTGATCAAATCTTCCATTCCCTTATATATTTTTAACCTGTTTATTCTATCAGTTTTTGATAGATGTGTTAAAATCTCTCACTATAATTGTGGATTTTCAGTCTCCTTTCAATGATGCCAGTTTTTGTTTTATATATTAGGAGGCATACAGATTTGGGTGCATATAAATTTATGTATTTATTTTTAATTTTTAGATGCATACAGACTTTAAATTGTTATAGTTCTCTGGTGAATTGACCCTCTTATGATAAAGAAATGTTCCATATTTCCCTCTATTAGTCAGCCTAACAGTTGTAAATTATTTTACTATTCTTTTAATGGCTGTCCTAGAGATTGCAACATACGCCACTGGTTATTAAAATCTAATATGTATTTTTTATTTTTGCTATTGCCAGGATAGTACAAAGCTTTTGCAACATTTTAACACTATGAAAATCATGTCATTCTTTGAGCTGTCGTTGTGTATTTTAATTTTGCACATATCTTATAATGAAAAATACATTATTATTGCTTTATATACTATAACAAAAATTGACACTTAATTCTAATAAGTAGTATAAGCTATTTGCAAAATATAATTATGTAACATAACTTTCATAATTTATACATTATTTTTAAAATCCTTTAAAATTTATACTCATATATTCTTTTTCTATTGCTTTTTCTTTATTTTTCCATTTTGAATTTAAATCTAAGTTATTTCTTTCCAGCTCAAGAGCCTTCTTTACTTTTCCTTTTTTTTTTTTTTTTCTTTTTTTTTGAGACAGAGTTTTGCTCTTGTTGCCCAGGCTAAAGTGCAATGACGCGATCTCAGCTCACTGCAATCTCTGCCTCCCGGGTTCATGCAATTTTCCTGCCTCAGCCTCCATAGTAGCTGGGATTACAGGCACCTGCCACCACACCCAGCTAATTTTTTGTATTTTTAGTAGAGATGGGGTTTCACTATGTTGGCCTGGCTGGTCTCGAACTCCTGACCTCAGGCGATCCACCTGTCTCGTACTATTTCTTTTAGTGCAGAACTGTTGTTGACAAATTCCTTTAAGTTTTGTTGGTCTGAAGGTGTCTTTATTTTGTCTTCATTTAAAACAAATTCCTTTCAGTTCTTTGAAGATATCTGTCCATAGTTTTCTGGCTTCCACTGTCCTTATGGAAAAAAAAATAGCTTTCAATCTTATCATTGTTCCTTTAGATATGATGTGTCTTTTTCCCTAGCTACAAGAATTTTCTGTATATATTTGGTTTTCTGCATTGTTACTAGAATATACCAAGTGGATTTTCTTTGTTTATATCATTATAGTTATTCTTGATTCTATGAATTGATGTCTTATCTCTTTAAATATTGCTCCTGCCTCATTCTTTCTATTCTCATTTTGAAACTCCAAATGCATATCTCTGAACTTTTCATCCTGCCCTTTTGTGTCTATGCTGTCTTTATCTTTGATATAATTTGTTTGTATTCTCTCAATGTTTCAAGCTTCATCCTATCTTACATTTTATGAATTCTCATTTTGGCTATGCACAATGTGAATTTAAATCCATGATTAAATTTTTTATTTTAGTTATTTTAGTTTCCATTTCTAGAATTTTTCACTTGATATTTTCCTAGCGTTGAACTCTGACAAAATTCTGTATCTTCTGAGTTTCTTGAAATATTAATTATGTTTACTTCATAGTTCATGATTGGTAAATTCAATATCTGGCTCTGCTATGAGTCTGTTTCTATTGTCTTCACTTTCTTTCCTTGAATTTTTTTGGGTCAAGTCTTACCTTTCTATATGCATGGTTATTGTTGACTCTATTTTGGAGACTGTATATGAAAAATAGTAACAGTCATTTAAGTAATGAATGATAGTCCACTCTTCCTGAAAATACTCAATTTGTTCATGTCAGACATCTAGGCTAGGTCCAGGTCACCTAAATTCAATCAGAAATTGAGATTATTTGAAACTGGGCCTCAGGTATTTTAAGGACTTCACTAGTGTCAGCTTTTGCATATTCTCACAACTAGAATTAAGGCACTTTCCAGGGATCCATGCTAGGCAGACTCTGAACACTAGCTTTTATCACCAAGCCCTGTAAGATGGAGGAAATCTTTCAACAGTCCCTAAGTTGCTGTGATGGTTTTGAGGGGAGAACAGAATCACTTGCCTTAGCTTTTTTATTCTCCCAAATCTTAGCTCTGTATATCTTCTCTCCCTTGGTAGCTCCCTGATGCCATCACACTGATTTTTTAATGCCCCATATTTCTATTTATCCTCAGTAGTAGAGTTTGTCTTAAACTAGTCCATTTACTGGAAGCACAACTTGTTTTTTCTTGGGGGGGGAGTTGATTTTCTTATAACCTGTCTAATTTGTCTATGCTGTTATGTTTATATGTAATTTTGCAAAACAGAACAAAAGAATTACATTTTTCTCTGCTTATGAATATATCATTAAACTAACAGGACTTGTCTGTTATTCAGTCCAGAACACCAGGGGGATTTTTTTTTTCCTTTTATTTTGGTCAGTATTTCAGTCAGTATAAACTATATTGGTTACACTATGAAAATAAATGAACCCTAAACTTCATGACTTAGAGCAAAGTTTTTTAAATTGCTCATACTTCATGTGCCTCAGTTTAGGGAGGGATTCTGCTTTTGCTTGATCTCATCAAAAATTCAGATAAACCTAGAACATTTCTAGTCATAGTAAAAGATTTAAAAAGTTATAGCAAATAAATTTCTGATTCTGAAAGTGTTTCTCCTGGATATAACTCAAGTCTCTTCTGCTTACAATTCAGTGGTCAAATCAAATCACATGGCTAGACCTTCCTCAAGGAGTCAGAAACATTCAATCTTACTCGGTGCCTACAAAGAGAAACAGAATATCTCTGAACAGCACCAATGGGTAACAGAAAGTTTTTTTAAGTGGCCAACAAGCATCATAACCTAATAACTGCAAGACTGTAAAGTCCTCAATGGTGTATAATATGTTCTGTTCTTAATTGTGTGTATATATTCTAATACAACTGTGTTAGTTTCATATTGCTGACATAAATGATTACAAACCAATGGCATAACTAAACACAAATTTGTTATCTTACAGTTCTGTAGGGAAGTCTGGTACAGGTTTCACTGAGCTAAAGTCAAGTGTTCAGTGTCTGTTTTCCTTTCTGGAAGCTCTAGTGGAGAAATTAAATTTTTGCTTATTTCAGTTATTGGTTAAGTAAGTCTCTTGTGTTTATAAGACTTAGTGAGGTCCCTGTTTTCTTGCTGACTATAAACTAAGGACCACTCCAAGCTTCTAGACACTATCACATTACTTCATTCAATGTCTCCTTCCTTCATCTTCAAAGCTGGCAATTGCAGGTTGAGACTATCTCACATCACATATCTCCGACCTTTCTGGCTCTTCTTTTCCCCCTTTAAGAACTGTTGTGATTAGATTGTCTCACCCACAAAGCCCAAGATAATCTCCCTACCTCAAGGTCCTTAATTCCTTTTGCAAAGCTTGTTTTGCCATTAAAGAAAAATATTCACATGTTCCAGGCATTAGGGCATAAATATCTCTGCAAGATGATTATTTTGCCTATCAAAATAGTTCATGGAATAATCTATGTGCCCAGTAAAGTATAGTTAACAATATGATGAACAAAAGAAGCGATGATAATTATGTAAGTATATATCACAACAAAACAACTGTTAAAAATTCCTTTCTTATGGAAGACATCATTTTCTGATTATATTTCTATTATTATTATTATTATTGTTATTATTATTATTTGAGACAGCATCTTTCTTTGTCATCCAGGCTGGAATGCAGTGGTGCAATCATGGCTCACTGCAGCCTCGACTTCCCAGGCTCAAGCAATTCTCCCACCTCAGTCTCTCAAGTAGCTTAGACTACAGGCATGCACTGCAACACCCTGCTATTTTAAAAATTATTTTGTAAAGGTGAGGTCTCACTATGTTGCCGAGGCTGGACTTGAACTCCTGGGTTCAAGTGATTCTCCTGTCTTGGTCTCCCAAAGTGCTGGGATTACAGATATAAGCTACCATACCTGGCCTACATTTCTATTATTAAAGGTAACTTTATGAGACATGCTTTTCCCATTCAGTAGACATATAATGAATAATTGTTGAGTGAATGAATGAACAAATGGGTAAATACATATTTTCTCACTAAACTAACATGCTTTTTATATCTTATGACATACAGTTATTTTAATTTTTGGTACTGACATTTTTGTGCATATTTTATTTTTCTGTTAGACTATAGCCTCTTGGAAATCAACGTCCAAGTATGTTTTGTATGTAAATCTGACACACAGGATAGCTACTGCATGGATGGGGCATTAATAAATATTTGTAAAGATATAGTTAAAGCATGACATTTCTTATAATTCAAAATTACCTTGAAAATAAAAAGTAATATTTGAAATCAGGATACAGAATCAATACACACTTAACTACAAGTGTGTTTGAGTTTTCAAAATGAGCTTAAATATATATAACGGATGGGACTAAAGTTCAAATATCTTGTTGAATTTAAAGGAAAATTGAAACCCAAAAAGTTTCATTAATTTTTTATAAAATTATATATTTAATGCCCTTTCCTTCTCACTGGTTTGACTCCATCTATTCCTATGAAAGGACACACTTAAAATAGTAATACGCATTTTTTTCAAGAAAAAAAGCTTAATTAAATTTTGTTTTTAAAATGTAGACAAGTTATTTATGGCCAAATCTAGTTGTCCTTCATGTCCTGAAATCTTAAGTTAGAATTACTAGTTATATCTTTTTCTATCAGTGTGTGTGTGTGTGTGTGTGTGTGTGTGTGTGTGTGTGTGTATTAACATGTTTTACTCTCTGGTTAAAACAGGGAAAAACCATTATGATTATGTGGTTTGTATATGACAATTTCTGTGCCTAGCTGTGTAGTCAAATTTAAAAATTTTAGATCCATTTTATTATGTATTTAAACAATGGAAGAACTATGGTGTCTATAACTATAGGCACTAATCATAAGTAATGAAATTAATAAAATAGCAGGAATTAATGGACAAGACATTCTGTTGCATTATTTTGTCAATAAAACTTCAAATGATTAATGGATACAAGTTTGAAAGTGAGCCATGCTATAGTATTGATTGAAATCTTTAGATGGTCATAGACGACACAACTCTAGGAAAAGTCATATGGGGAGAGTGTGCATGAGAGAAAGATTTGTAGTACTAAAATAATCCAAGAATGACTTTTCCCAGTGTTGTGTCATATATGCACATATAAAGATTTCAATCAATACTATAGCATAGCTGGCTCTCATACTTGTATCTATTAATCATTCAAAGTATATTTAGTATGCATTTATATATTTAACTTAAGTATGTAAATATATATACTTAATTTTAAAAAATAATATCTGTACTTGATCAATCAGCTAGTGAAGGCCATCTGGTCCTATATATGGAGAAATACAACCATAGACATGCATTTTATTTTTTTCTTTGTTATTGATTAATCCTGATTCTTTCAAGGATAAATGAAATGAATATTTTATAAAGCATAAGATAAAATGATCTATGTTAGTAAATACCAAACAGTTTCAACAGTCTGCTTTTTTTGTCATGATTCAGGGCATTTGGCTGAGTAATCAATTCAAATATTTAGGAATGAGTTCTATATATGGTGGAAAATGGTAGCATGTATTTCTAAGGCATATTGTAGTTTTCAAATAAATATTACCCATGTTATTCCACTGTATTTTCACAATTTCTCTGTGATGTAGGCAAGGTAGGAATAGCTAATCCAATTTTACCAATGAGAAAATTGAGATTCAAGAGTTATAAGTGATATATCCAGTTTTAGAGCTAATTGTGGAAGCCAAGAAATCCCTTAACAGAGATTTCTTTTACCTTCTTATTTTTTCTTAGATCTTTTTTTAATAGACACTTTCCTAGACATTAAGCCTGACAAATTGCCTGATACTTCTGTAAAAGATTTTATGCAATGCTTAGGCCTTTGTTTCAGAGAATTGCCCAGCTATATGTCTAACCTTTCAGATACCAGGCAAGCAACCATCTAGCCACAGATTTTCCAGATATGGCTGTTAAACTTTTGCCATTTTGATTAGGCCTTAGAAATATTAATAATGTGATAATAGTAGTCTAGTTATTTCTGTCACATTCTCTTCTAGATTATAAATCCTGGGCAGCATCCTAACAACAGTAAATGAAAAGGCAGAAATAATAGAAGTTATTTACGCAGTTATTTTCCTCACCTCATATGAAGGGGTGGGGGCAAGATGATATGGTAGCTAATTGACATGTGGTCAATTATAATAAAATAACAGATCTCCGAACCCACTCTGGAGAGGTGGGTTCAGCATTGTTAATTATTGGCTGCACAATTATGAGCAAAAAGAGTCACTCTAAAAATACGTGTATTGATAGCTTATCTGAATTACAATTTGATGACTGTCAAAATAGTCTATGTGAAAGTGAGTTTCTATAACCAGAAATAAGATCCAGCATGAAGCCCTTGAACACGCTGTTGCTCAAGATGTTCTTGCATTATTTTCCTATTAATACAATTATATCCTTGAGTTGAAGGGAAAAAAGCACTTTATAGGCTATATAACAGCACCATGGTGGATAACTACCAGCATTCTATTAGTTATGGATATTTTACATTTTACATGACTGACTATATTAAGGGATAGGAAAAAAACTTCCTTTGATTAGAGAGAATTCTTTGCATTATGATGACATATTACATTAAGTGGCTTACTAAAACTCCTCAGCATCTTTGAAAGCCATGCCAGTAGTGGAAAAGGCTAAATTATATATGTATCAGGCTCTTTATACTTAGCTTAGGCTTTCAGCATACATTATCTCCCTTTTAATCTAACCATATGTTATGTGGGTCCTAAAACTTATTTCATATGTCATAGATCAGACACTATGAAGCCATCATCATTCATACTGTGTCAGAACTCAAGGTACAAGCAACTATTTTCCTTATTTACTTTTCATTGTAATTCATCTCATTTTATTTCTTTTCAGAGTAACTGTAAAATTTTGAAGTCATTCTCATCAAGATCAAGTCATTTTTATAACAGTATTGTTAACATCAACTCTTCAAAAAAAATCATTCTTTTACTATGAAACCTTGTCTTGTCTCCCTGAATTTTACTACATTTCCAACCTCTGTGATGTGTCCTTTTATGAGAACTCTATTTCCACTTTTTGTTTAGCAGGGAATTTCAAGGTTCAAATGGATAGTTTGAAGTACTATAAGAACTCATAAAATATTGCCGATAAACATACCAGATGACACTGGATCATCTAATTTAATAATTATTATGTTACATATTCAAATGCGTATATACTTGCTTGGTCTATCAAGGAAGTTCTTGTTCATAGAGAAAAAGGAACATTTAAAATCAAATTTCAATATCGTATGATTCATATTAACAACAATAGGTAGAAAATACTCTGAGAAGTCAAAAGCATGTATAATTAATCAAAAATAATCAATAAGTAAAGGATTTGTGGAGGAGGTGATATTTAGACTGGCTGTGAAAGGATTATTTTAGTAGGATATAGAACTAAGTAGAAAGTAGGGGGTGAATATATTGCAGGAAAAGACAATATTATGGTTTATTAGTTATCTTTTGCTGAATAAAAAAGTACTACCAACTCAGTGGCTTATAACAACATGCATTAATTATCTCATAACTTCCATGTGTCTGGGTCTGGGAATGCCTAGCTGAGCCCTGTAGTCAGTGTCTCACAAGCTGTATTCAAGGTGCTGGCTTTGTCTACAGTCTCACCTAGTAGCTCCAAGTAGGGAAGAATCAGCTTCCAAGCTCATTCAGGTTCTCGGCAGAATTAATTTCCTTGTGGTTGTAGTGCTGGTGCCCTGGCTTGTTACTGGCTGTTGTCCTGGAGGCTGCACTCAGGTCCTGCAAGCCACCCATAGCTCCCGTCTACAAGGCTTTGCCCATGGACATTTGAAATATGGATGTTTGCCTCAGCAAGGCCAGCAGGAGAAACTCTCAATGTTAAGGGCTGATTAGGTCATGCTTACCTGAGATAAACCCCTTTTGTTAACTCAAAAATCAACTCATATAGGACTTTAATTACATGTGCAAAATCCCTTTATCTTTGCCATATAGCATAGCTTTATCATGGGAGTGACATCCCATCACCTTCACCAAATTCTGTTGGCTAGAACGAAATCACAGATACAACCCACACTTCAAGGAAAGGGATTATGCGAAGGAGTGGTCAGCGAAGGCTGAGAATTATTGGGGATCACCCTAGGCTCTATCATAATAAATTTAAAAAAGGTATTCATTAAATACTGTATGAATTGCAAAACTGCAAGTACTATAATTTCATAGGGTAGAAGCAGAGACTATAAAACATGAGTTAAGGTAGATAAAGGACAGAACCTATGAACTTTGGGTGTTTTTTTAAAGAGTTTAGGTTTTGTGCTATAGGCAATGAGAAACCCACTGCAGGATATTCTCAGACTAGAACTTGGTGAGAATCATCCTGGAAGCAGTGAGCTAGATGAAATGCAGCAGACTGGGTTTGAAAGTAGGGAAGCCAGTTAGAACACTTGCAATAATCCAGACACAAGAGGATGGGACCTTGGTGAGACCAATGAGATGGAATAAAAGAGAAATCAGATATAAAGAGATACTTAAGAAAAAGGATTACCATGAGCATTGAAGATTGGGAAGAGGGAGATGTGTTGAGTAAGTTGAGTCTAAACTGGGTTTAATCTCTACTTCAAGAGCTCCCTAGTCTTGTCTTGAATATAGGATTCATCACTGTATAAAAAATATTGATTGAGCATATATTTTACACAAAGCACTCCATTATTTTGTGAAATTCAAATATTTTACAAACATGTTATCCAATTCAAGTATATGGTACACATAATCTAAATGACTAGATAGATGAGACAGAGTGTAGCATGATATGTGATGTGATACAATGACATGATACCTAGAAAATTTCATCTTGGCTGTAACTTGTAAGTTTTACACAGGATAGCAAATAAAGGAAAAGTTTAGAAACAGAGATTGAGACTAGGTACAGGAATCTTTGAGTGAGAGTTAAAGGACTTGAGCTTTATTCTATAGGCAATAGAGAAGTCAATTAAGGCTTTGAAGCATGAGATTGACTCTACCAAAACAGTGCTTTCTGAAAATTAATTTAAAAATTGATGAGCATAATAGATTTGATGAGTATAGAGATGGAAGACTAAAGGAAATTTTTATACTAGGATTGAATGAATATAGGCTCTGGCTGGAGTTGGACCAGTGAGATTGGAAAAAATGATGCAAGGCAGAAATGTTTGTCTTTCACTAGAAGTGTCCAAGGTTTCCAGTAGCAGAAAATTGCTAGGATGGGTTTTTATTTATTTGATATGTTTACTTTCTCACCAGCATTTGAAGAGCTTCCCTATCCTACATATCAATGTCATCATTAGTGAACATTCTATTTTTCATGTGTCTTTGTCATTACCTCTAGTTATAGCTTAAAAATTAATTGTTGTTTAATATCTTTTATCCACCCAAAGGCTAGAGATTTCTATTCTAACAGATAACAATTATTTTATTACTAATACTACTGAAAATTGCTATAGAATGTGTTTTACATGCAGATGCTATTCTGAACATTCAACAACAATTATCTTTTAGAATAAACAATATGGTTGTGAACCCAAATGGCAGGGTAAAGAAGCTGAGGTGAAATAATGTGCTTAGGTTCATATTTCTAGTTAGAGAATCAGGATTCTAATTTTCAGTATGGACAGAATTTATTACAGAACTCATGCTCTTGACCATTATGTGATATGCCTAAATTAAATGCTATAAAATAAATCTTTAATATTTTGAGATACTTTAAGTTAGTTGTCTTTTTTTCTTGAATTTCTATCCCTTTATACTCTTTCTGTAGATTATTAATATGGTTTTTCCATCTTATGTTATTTCCCCTAAATGGGGAGAAAGTAATGTTAATGGAGATAGTTTAATATTTGTTGCATAGTAAATTACAAAGGGGAAGAACAAATCTCTCACATGGAAAGAAATCTATTGAAATATATATATATATTTATGTGTTCACAAGATTTGAAACAGGATAATAATCTAGTTATAATTATTATAGTTGTCATAGGCAAAAAGAGCATACAGCCTATTTTGTTAAATGCTCCCCATCGTGTAATTTAAAGTTGCTCTAAAGCCAAAAGACACATGAAAAAATGCTCATCATCACTGGCCATCAGAGAAATGCAAATCAAAACCACAATGAGATACCATCTCACACCAGTTAGAATGGCGATCATTAAAATTTCAGGAAACAACAGGTGCTGGAGAGGATATGGAGAAATAGGAACACTTTTACACTGTTGGTGGCACTATAAACTAATTCAACCATCGTGGAAGTCGGTGTGGTGATTCCTCAGGGATCTACAACTAGAAATACCATTTGACCCAGCCATCTCATTACTGGGTATATACCCAAAGGATTATAAATCATGCTGCTATAAAGACACATGCACACATATGTTTATTGTGGCACTATTCACAATAGCAAAGACTTGGAACCAAGCCAAATGTCCAACAATGATAGACTGGATTAAGAAAATGTGGTACAAATACACCATGGAATACTATGCGGCCATAAAAAATGATGAGTTCAAGTCCTTTGTAGGGACACGGATGAAGCTGGAAACCATCATTCTCAGCAAACTATCGCAAGGACAAAAAACCAAACACTGCGTATTCTCACTCATAGGTGGAAATTGAACAATGAGAACACATGGACACAGGAAGGGGAACATCACACACTGGGGCCTTTTTTGGGGTGAGGGGAGGGGGGAGGGATAGCATTAGGAGATATACCTATTGTTAAATGATGAGTTAATGGGTGCAGCACACCAACATGGCACATGTATACATATGTAACTAACCTGCACATTGTGCACATGTACCCTAAAACTTAAAGTATAATAAAAATAAAAAATAATTGCTCTAAAGTCATGTGTGCAAAAATCTTCTCCATTGTTTAGGAAGGTATGTTTAGAGTAAAACTTCCTCTAAACACATGTAAGTATAACATCAAAGCAAATAATACCATACAGAAAATAGGCAATGATAAGGCTACAAAATGGGCCATTTGTATTTATTCATTCAATCAGTCATTCATTTACACAGATTTATTGAGCACTAGACAGGATATTAGCATGCAGAGATGAAGACATGATTGTCAGTTTTTGTTCTGTTGGGGTCACACCTTGAATTACCTTTATGATTGTAAGAGGGGCACAAAGACATCTGTGATTCCAATTTCTGGACAAGTTTCAAGTTTCATCACTTATTTGGTAGAGAACTATCAAAAAAGAAAGCTGATATTATGGACTGTAGCAGGAAATAAGTTTCAGAGTGGGAACTCACCTAGTACAAAGACTCTTTAGGGGATGCAGGGCAGACAATAAGAAGAAAGTGTGAAAGTTCTCCTAAAGGCAGGAGGATGTTGAATATATTGATAATTGTATACACATGTTCCCATTTTTTCAGTGAGGATTGTTCTTTTAATCCAGTTATCAAGTTGGAAATGATTTAAAGCAATCTGATACTTGTTCTAAAAACCAAAGTAAAAATGTCAAACAATAAGCAAATACGACAGAAGGAATGTGTGTTGCCCACATTAACTGAATACCCAAACAAAATAGTGAATTTATGTAATTCATCTGGATATTTTGACAAGACTATGCCCAATGGCTTTATTAAAATGAACTGTTTCATATTTTTATAATTTGCAAAATATTTTGTTTAGGCAGGTCAAGTTATACTACTCCCCTGTGGACTTTATAGATGAGGAGTGTGAATGCCTTGTTATACTCCTGTGAGTGGGTAGTAATGCTTAACTTTCCAAACCGCAGCTTACACATCTAACCTCTTTCTTGTTTTAAGAAAAGAATAATTGTAACACTGATTCAAATAATAAACTTTCATTGTTTTATACTCATATTTAGTCTACAAAAACTAGAGATACAAAAATACAGAAATCAGCACTTCAGCTAAAAGTATGAAGCAGAGCAATTTCTGACTACTAAAGAAGAGTTTGTTTTCTTGAAGAGGTGAAAATGCCTTACACACCTTCCCTAAACTACCACTTGGCAATCTTTTTCTACTGTCTTGGGAAAACAAAACATTCTCATGATATGAAAAGCTTTAAAGGGCTTCTTAATCACCATTATCATTTTTTAGCATGAACAATAATAAAAAGCCATCGAAGTTAATTCATTTATTAAAACATATCTTTGAACTGCCATTGTGAACTAGATATGTCTAGACTCAAGAAATACAGCGGTAAACATAATATTTTTTGAGGGAAAGATGCAGACTATGAACATATAAACAAATACATGTGAATGCTTGAGAGAAGCTATGAGGTGATTAGTAGAATGTAAAATACAATTTAGTCAAGTTAGGACATGAATGGGGTTCTATGTTATATTGGTGGTCAGGATAGTGAAGAGAGACATAAAGTAACCTTGCCCCCTGGATGTCTGACAAAACAGTGTCTGAAGCAAAAAAAAAAAAAAAAACAAAAAAAAAAAAACAAAGAAAACAGCATGGGTAGAGAGGTATTAAGACTTGGCAGCTTCAAGGAATTGTCAGGAGGATAATGTCTCTGAAATGAGCCTGGAACTGTACGACTATAGTTTAAGATATTAAACACAAAATTAATTGGTTATGACGGGCCAAAGTCGATAAATAGAAATGATTACTTTATCTTCGTTTTAAATTGTCATAGTCTTGAGCTTTGTGTAGGCTGCTTATTGTTCTAATTGAGGTATCTATAAATAGCCATTCTTCTACTCAAATTTTTGTTACCGTACTAGCATCTGGTATCTTTTCCTACCATTCAGTGCATTCTGTCTTCTTTTGTTAATTCTGAAAGAGATGCTGCAGGTTTCAAGAAACCTATAATGTATAAGGCATGAATTATAATCTATATTTCAAATGATTTTTGTAAGGAAAATTTGAAAAAATTACACCAAAACTGAAAATGTAGGATAACAATAATCTAACCTCAGCAAACCAGCAGTGGTGGTAAATCTGTAGATTTTAGTCACACAAATTTTAACACCTAAGATTATTTTAGTATTGAAAAGCTACATTGACATTTAATTTTATTTAACTTATGCCCATAATTTTGCAGTAACAATGCCTGTATAAAATATAATTTTGCAGTAACAATGCCTGTATAAAATAAAATTTAGTATTAAATGGGCTGTCATCTACATTGAATTATTTACTAAGGTAGTAAAACTGTTTTATTTATTTATTTATTTTTGACACAGGGTCTCACTCTGTTGCCTAGGCTGGAATGCAGTGATATAATCATGGATCACTGCCGCCTAGACCTCTAAGGCTCAGGTGATTCTCCCACCTCAGCCTCCTGGGTAGCTTGGATTACAAGTGCACATCACCACACCAGCTAATTTTTGTATGTTTTGTAGAGATGACATTTTGCCACGTAGCCCAGACTGTTCTCAAACTCCTAGGCTCAAGTGATCCTCCCACCATGGCCTCCCAAAGTGCTGGGATTATAGGCTTGAACCACCATGTCCAGCCAAAATATTTTTATGTTTAATTTTTGTGGGTACATAGTAGGTGTATACATTTATGAAGTACATATTTTGACACTGGAATATAATGCATAATAGTCACATCAGGGTAAATGGGGAATCCAGCCCATCAAACATTTACCCTTTGTGTTACAAACAATGAAATTATACTCTTTTAGTTATTTTAAAAGGTATAATTAAAAATTTTTATTGACTGTAATCAGCCTGTTGTGCTATTAAATATCAGATCTTATTTGTTCTACTTTTGTTACCCATTAACCATGCCCACTTCTTCCCAATCCCCCACTACCCTACCGAGTCTCTGATAAACACTCATTCTACTCTCTACCTCCATGAGTTCAATTGTTTTAATAAGAATGTGTGAAGTGTGTCTTTCTGTGCCTGCCTTATTTCACTCAACATAGTTACTTACTGTTCCATTCATGCTGCTGCAAATGACAGGATTTCATTATTTTTTATGGCTGAATAGTATTCCATTCTGTATTGTACCACATTTTCTTTAATCATTCATCTGTTGATGGACACTAGGGTTGCTTCCAAATCCACCCCACAGTGTACACACGTATATGTATCTTTTTTCTCCCCATCTTTGTCAGCGTTCCTGATTGTCCTCCTTTTGGATATAAGCAATCTTCAGTGAAGTGAGATGATATCTCATTATGGTTTTGATTGGCATTTTTCTGATGATAAACTGTGTTGAGCATCTTTTCATATGTGTGTTTGTCATTTGTATGTCTTCATTTGAGAACTATTAAGATTTTTAACCCATTTTTAATTGGATTATTAGATTTTTTCCTACAGAGTTGTTTGAGCTCCTTGTATATTCTGGTTATTAATTCCTTGTCATATGGATAGTTTACAGATATTTTCTACCATTCTGTGGGTTGTCACTTTACTTTGTTAACTGTCTCCTTTGCTGTGCAAAAATTTTAAACTTGATGTGATCTCTTTTGTCTACTTTTGCTTTGGTTCCCTGTGCTTGTGTGTTATTATTACTCAATAAATCTTTTCCCAATGTCTTGGGAAGTTTCCCCAATGTTTTCTTGTAGCAGTTTCATAGCTTGAGGTCTTAGCCTCAATTTTTTAATTCATTTTGGTTTGGTTTTTGTATATGATTTTCTATATTTCATTCTTCTGCATATAGATGTCCAGTTTTCCCACCACCATTTACTGAACAAATGGTCTTTTTCCCCAGTGTATGTTCTTAACAACTTTGTTGAAAATGAGTTTGCTGTAGGTGTATGGATTTTTTTTCTGGGTTCTCCATTGTGTTTCACTGGTCTATGTGTCTGTTTTTATGCCAGTGCCATGCTGTTTTGGTTACTATAGCTATGTAGCATAATTTGAAATCAAGTAATGTGATTCCTCCAGTTTTGTTCACTTTGCTTAGGATGGCTTTGGCTATTTGGGCTCTTTTGTGGTTCAATATAAATTTTAGGATTTTTAAAAATTTATATAAAGAATATCATTGGTATTTTGAAAAAGATTGCATTGAATCTTTAGACTACTTTGGGTTGTATGGATAATTTAACAATATTGATTCTTCCAATCCATGAACACAAAATATCTTTCCAATTTTCTGTGACTTCTTTAATTTCTTTCATTAATGTTTTACTGTCTTCACTGTAGAGATATTTCACTCCTTGGCTTAATTCCTAAGTATTTATTTGTTTTTATCATAAATGAGATTATTTTATTGATGGCTTTTTTAGATTGTTTGTTGTTGGTATGTAGAAATGTTACTGATGTTTGTATGCTGATTTTGTATCCTGAAACTTTACTGAATTTGTTTATCAGTTCTAATAACATTTTGGTCTAGTCTTTAGGTTTTTTCAAATACAAGATTCTATCATCTGCAAACAAGGATAATTTGAGTTCTTCCTTTACAATTAGGATGCCTTTTATTTCTTTCTCTTTTCCAATTGCTCTAGCAAACACTTACAATAGTATGTTGAATAACGATGTTGAAAGTAAGCATCCTTGCCATATTTCTGATCTTGAAGGAAAGACTTTCCATTTTTCCCTATTCAGTATATTAGCTATGGATTTGCCATATATGGATTTTACTATGTTGATGTATGTTGCTTCTACATCCAGTTTTTGAGGGTTTTTATCATGAAAGGATGTTGAATTTTGTCAAACGGTTTTTTTAAGCATCAGTTGAAATGCTCATATGGTTTGTCTTTCATTCTGTTGATAGGACGTATCACATTGATTGATTAACATATGTTGAACCCTCTTTGCATCTCTGCGATAAATTTCACTTGGTCACAATGAATGATCTTTTAAACGTGTTGTTGAATTTGGTTTGCTAGTATTTTGTTGAGGATTTCTGCATCAATATTCACCAGTGTTATTGGCCTATAGTTTTCTTTCATTATTATTATTATTTTTATTTTCTGGACAGTCTTTTTCTGTTGCCAAGGCTGGAATGGATCTTGGCTTACTGCAACCTCTGTCTCCTGGACTCAAGCAATCCTCCTGCCTTAACCTTTCAAGTAGCTGGGACTACAGGCATGTGCCACCACACCTGCCTAATATTTTTGTATTTTTTGTAGTGACGGTGTTTCTCCATATTGCTCAGCCTGATCTCCAACTTTTGAGCTCAATCACATCTCCCACCTCAGCTTTCCAAAGTGCTTCGATTACAGGTGTGAGCCTCTGTGCCTGGCCAGTTTGTGTGTGTGTGTGTGTGTGTGTGTATGTGTGTGTCTTTGTCTGGCTTTTGGCATCAGAGTAATATTTGCCTCACAGAATGAATTTGGAAGTATTTCCTTCTCCTCCATTTTTTGGACTAGTTTAAGTAAGAATGGTATTTTTTTAATGGTAAAATTCATCAGTGAAGCCATCAGATCCCAGGTTTTCTTTTCTGGGAGACATGTTATTATGGCTTGGATATCATTACTTGTTATTGGTCTGTTCAGGTTTTTGATTACTTCATGGTTCATTCTTGGTAGGTTGTATGTATCCAAGAATGCATCCATTTCTCCTAGGTTTTCCAATTTTTTGGCATATGTTTGCTTACGGTAGCTTCTAATGATCCAGTGAATTTTTGCAGTATCAGTAGTAATGTCTACTTTTTATATCTGAGTTTATTTCTTTGGGTGTTCTATTTTTCTCAGTTTCATTGAAGATTTGTCGATTTTGACTTCAAAAAACCAACTTTTTGTTTTGTTCATCCTTTGTATTATTTTCTTTATTAAATATAATTTTTTCACTCTAATTTTTATTATATTTTTTCTTCTTCCAATTTTGGGTTTACTTTGCTCTTGTGTTTCTAGTTTTTTTAAGATGTGTCATTAGTTTGTTTATTTGAAGTTTTTCTACTTTTTTGACATAGATGCTTCTAGCTATAAACTTCCCTCTTAGTACTGCTTTTGTTGTATCTGATACGTTTTGGTACGTTGTGTTTCCATTATCATTTGTTTCAAGAAATTTTCCAATTTCCTTCTTAATGTCTTTATTGGCCCAGTAGTCATTCAGGTGCATATTGTTTAATTTCCATGTGTTTGTGTAATTCCCAAATTTTCTCTTGTTATTAATTTCTAGTTTTATTCTATTTGGTCACAGAAGATACTTGATATCATTTCAATTTTTTGAATATTTTCAGACTTGTTTTGTGACTAAAATGTGGTCAGTCTTTGGGCATGATCTACGTGCTGAGGAGAAGAACATGTATTCTGCGGCTGTTGGATGAAATGTTCTGTAAATATCTATTACGTCAATTTGGTCATTAAGTCCAAGTTTACTTGTTGATTTTCTGTCCTGAGGACTGTCCCATGCTGAAAGTAAAGTGTTAAGTCTCCATCTATTATTGTATTGAGGCACATATCTTTCTTTTTTTTTTTTATCTTTCTTTAGCTCTAATAATATTTCTTCATGTATCTTTGTGTGCCAGTGTTGTGTCTGTAAGTACTTGCAATTGTGATATCCTCTCACTGATTTGACCTCCTTTTATATCATCATATAATGACTTTTATTGTCTCTTTTGATAGTCTTTGTCTTGAAATCTATTTGTCTTATGTAAATATAACTACTACTGCTCTTTTCTGATTTCCATTTGCATGGAATAATGTTTCCCATTTCTTTGCTTTCAGTCTATATATTTCTTTATGGTGAAGTCTGTTTCTTGTAGGCAACAGATTGTTAGGTCTTGTTTGTTTTTTATCCATTCAGCTACCCTATGTCCTTTAATTTGTAAAATTAAAAGAGAAAGTTTAGTGTATTTGCATTCATTATTATTATTGATAAGTAAAGGCTTACTCCTGCCAGCTTGTTATGTGTTTTCTGATCTTCTCTTCCATTTTTCTTTCCTGTCTTCTCTTTTGTGAAGATGATTTTCTCTGGAGGTATGTCTTAATTTCTTGCTTTTAATTTTTTTGTGCATCTGTTGTATGTTTTTTGATTTTAGATTCCCACTAGGCTTGCCAATGTTGTCTTATTACTCAGTATTTTAAGCTGATGACAACTTAACACTGACTGCAAAAACTAACTGACAGACGAGCAAACAGAAAACTAATAAAAACTCTGCACTTTAACATTGTTTCCCTGCTTTTTAACATTTTGTCGTTTCTATTTATATTTTATTGTACTGTCCATGTCTTGAAAAGTTGTTGTAGGATTTTTTTATTTTTCTTAGTTCATCATTTAGTCTTTCTTCCTAGGTTAAAAGTAGTTTACACACCACAGTTTAAATGATGTAATATTCTGTGGTTTGCCATGTAGTTACTATTACCAGTGAGTTTTGTAGCTTCAGGTGATTATTCATTCTCATTAACATCCTTTTATTTCTTATTGAAGTACTCCCTTTAGCATCTCTTGTAGGACAGGTCTAGTGTGGATGAAATCCCTCAGCTTTTGTTTGTCTGGGAAAGTCTTTATTTCTCCTTAATCTTGAAGGATAATTTTGCTTCATATATTATTCTAGGGTAAATTTTTTTTCTTTCAGCACTTTAAATATATCATGCCACTCTCTCCTGGCCTATAAGGTTTCCAACAAAAATGTGCCACCAATGTATTAGCTCTCCATTGTATGTTGTTTTTTTTCCTCTTGCCAGTTTTTGGATACTTTCTTTATCTTTGATCTTTGGGAGTTTG
The DNA here is from genome assembly GCF_000001405.40 of Homo sapiens. Classification (NCBI taxonomy): domain Eukaryota; kingdom Metazoa; phylum Chordata; class Mammalia; order Primates; family Hominidae; genus Homo; species Homo sapiens. Next base: position 62,937,057 of record NC_000006.12, read on the forward strand.
ATTATTAAATCCCTTGAGGTAGTCTTCTTTGGGTTAAATCTGCTTGGTGTTCTATATAACCTTCTTATACTTGAATATTGATATATTTCTTTAAGTTTGGAAACTTCTCTGTTATTAGCCCTTTGAATAAACTTTCTATCTCTATTTCTCCACCTTCTCTTTAAGGCCAATAACCCTTAGATTTGCCCTAGGCATGCTGCATTTATTTTTGTTCTTTTTTTCTTTATCTCCTGTGACTATATTTTCAAATAGCCTATCTTCAAGCTCACTAATTATTTCTTGTTTGATCAATTCTGCTATTAAAAGACTCTGATGCATTCTTCAGTATGTCAATTGATTTTTTTCAACTCTAGAATTTCTGCTTGCTTCTTTTTTCTTTCAATCTCTTCATCAAGCTCATCTGTTAGGTTTTTGAGTTTCTTTTCTGTGTTATCTTGAATTTAATTGAGCTTTCTCAAAACAGCTATTTTGAATCCACTCTCTGAAGTCACATATATTGTCTCTCTGGAATTGGTCCTTGATTTCTTAATTCATTTGGTGAGGTCATGTTTCCCTGGATAGTCATGATGCTTGCAGATATTTGTCAGTGTCTGAACATTGAAGAGTTAGATATTTATTGTAGTCTCCTCAATCTGAGCTTATTTGTACCCCTCCTTCTTGGGAAAGTTTTCCAAGAATTCAAAGGAACTTGAGTGTTGTGATCTGTTTGGTCACTGAAGGCTTACCTGCATTTGGGGGCACCCCAAGCCCAGTAACACCATAGCTCTTGCAGACTAGTAGGGGTACTGCCTTGGTGGTATTGGATGAAATCCAGAAGAATTCTCTAGACTACCAGGCAGAGATCCTTGTTCACTTATGTTACTTTCTCCCAAATTAATGTAGTCTCTCTCTGTGTTGTTCTACCTGGAGCTGGGGAAGAGGTGACAGTAGCACCCCTGTGGCCATCACCACTGTGACTGTGCTTGGTCAGGCTTGAAGCCATCACAGCACTGGGTCTCACCCAAGGCCTGATGTAACAATTACCTAACTACCACCTCTGTTTACTCAAGGACCTATAACTCTACAATCAGCAGGTGGTGAAGCCAGCCTAACTTCTGTCTTTCCCTTCAGGATGGTGAGTTACCCCTTGCTCCAGTCAGGCCTAAAATGCCGTCTGGGAACTAGTCCATAGAGTTGGAAACCTTAGGTATCTACCTGGTGCTCTAGTCCTTAGCAGCTGAGCTGGCACACAAGCTATAGGACAAAGTCCTTCCCACTCTTCTCTTCTTTTTGCACAAGCAGGGGAGTCTCTCCTCATGGCCACCACCACCACAGGCCCATGGGGAGTACTTCGAGGATACTGTCGATGTTCACTCAAGGCCCAAGGGTTCTTCTGCCAGGTTGTGGTGCACACTGCCCTTCCCGGGACTCATGCTTCATGGCAATGGGTTTCCCTCTGACCCAGGGCTGATCCAGAAATGCTGTTCAAGAGCCAAGGCATGGAATCGCCCACTTGGTGCTCTACTCCACTGTGGCCAAGCTGACATCTATGGTGCAAGACAAAGCACCATACTCTTCCCTCTGCTTTTCTCAAGCAGAAGGAGTCTCTTCCCATAGCTACTACAGCTGGGAATGTGCTGTGTTACACCTGAAGCCAGCATGTCTCAGTCTCATCCCAGGCCCACGGTGTGTACTACCTGGATACTGCTGCTGCTTATTCAGGGCCCAACGGCCCTTTAGTCAGCAGGTGATAAATACTTCAGGATTGGGTCCTTCCCTTCAAAGAAGCTGGTTCCCTTCTGTCTCAGGGTATGTCTAGAAATACCATCTGTGAGCTAGGGCCTCAAATGGGTGCCTCAGAACTCTGTTCGGTGCCATATTTTACTGTGGCTGAGGTGGTATCCAAGCTGCAAGACAAAATCCTCTTTATCCTTCCCTTTCCTCTCCTCAAGTGGAAGGAAAGTGTTTCTTTTGAAGCTGAAAGCTGTGCTACCTGGGGCTGGAGGAGGAGTAGTGCAAGCACTATCTTGGCTGTTCTGGCTGGTGTCTCACTAAGTCATGTGCCACCAAGTCCACTGGCTCTAAGCCCAATCCAGAACTAGAATTTCCCTAGGAGTTGAAGTCCTTGTGGCCTAAACTGCCTGCCAAGTTTATTTAGAACCCCAGATCGTTTTAACCTGCAGTGGCAAAGCTTGACAGAACTCAAGTTTCAGTTGCTGGGATGGACAATTCACCTCTGGCTGGGGCTGGTCTAAATGCTTTCTCCACGGACATTGGCTGAGTTTCACTGGGTGTTGCTTTTCACTGTGACAGGCAGCATTGAGTTCTAACGCTAAGTCCTGCCATCACTGTGCTCTCCTTCCCCTAGGTGTACAGATTCTCTTTCTGTGTCATGCAGTTACTGCCAGGAAATGGGAGAAGGGCAGATTAGTGTTCCTTCAGGGAGGATAATTGGTGGAAACTTCTGTATGGCCATCTTGCTCTGCTTCCACTGGATAAAACTTTATAGATAGAGAACAATCACTTCCTCATTGGTAAACCACATCTCAATACAAAAACTCTTTAGTAGTCCTGGATGTACACTCTACCTAAAAACTTTAAGATTTACCATCCTGTATTCTTATATTATTGGAATAGTCATCATAATACACTGTAAACAAGTGAATGGTAATATACTGGTTTTGTGAAAACATATTAATAAAAGTGATAAACATAAAAACAATGAAGCAGTCACCTTTCTTCTTTTCTCTCCAATCTATTATCAGGAGCATTAATGTTACAAATTTGACCTCTAAATGTATATAATACATTTACTTGAAATCTAAATAAACATCAGTTTTAATCCCACTGATATTTAAAGCTATGTGAGTGTTTTATTTTTCCACCTTGAGAAATTAATAAGTCAGTTTCATGAAACCAACCCAAAATGAGCACAATGTGTGCTAAGCAACTAAGAGTTTCACTGTGTTAGTGGCTCTGGGTCTAAGGAAGGATTGTGACTTTATATTATTTCAGGCCATTTTTGCTAAGACTAGGTTTATTTTCATTAGTCTATGTAGCCAACTCAGCACTGGAGCTTGGCTTTGGGGTAAGGGGCACTCTGTGTTTGAAACTTTATTTTTATCATCTCCAGTTTTTAGGACATTTCTGTTTGGTAGCATTTCATATGTGTGCACTAAGCAGTTTTCTTTCTTTTTTTTTTTCTTGCATGTAATGCTAACATGAAGATGGTTCAAACTTTTATTCAGACCTCATAGTTGCCTTGACAATATGGCTCTGAATTTTAGAGAGATGCTTTAAAAATAAAGCACTGTAATTATTAAAGATCCATGGATAATTACTTATCTTCCATAGATGTGCTATAACACTTCAAGAAATTGAAAATTTCTTAATGAGTGTAAGCATTTCTTTTTAGGCATTCAGAATATCTATCATTTTTGAGAGAAATTTTTTCTAAGAGTCTGTGTATAGATTCTGGATATTGTTTTCCAAAGTGGAGTATTATGTCCCATTTGTTTGTTTCTACTCTTACAACAATAATTTACTCTATGATGTACGCTATTTGTCTGTGGACACACACACAATAGAAGATGATGATAATGGAAGGCATTTAGGAAGCTAATCCTTACAGCATTACATATTACTCTGGGTATCCTAAACCGTAAGAATACAAGACCTTTTCTCTCCAGCCTTTGTAATTTTCACATATTCTTTTCTTCAATAAATGCCTCATTAGCTTTATCCTAAGTGGGCTTTATTTACCTGAAAATTTGTGTTCATTGTTAAGACTATTTTTCAAAGTGACAAAAACACTGTATTGCCATTGTGCTACTTTGCAATCTATTGCTAACAGTGTTCTATTTAAAAATCAAGACACAAACTATGCTTACTCATAAATACTCTTGAATTAAAATCTTCCTAAAATACCTCTCCCTGTGCCATCCTCTTAGTTCACTCAGGTTTGGATTAAATTCAGATTCACGTCCATAACACAATGATTGATTCTCTGCTCTCTGGTGCACAGCATGCTCTCATGACTAGTAGCAAACGTTTATTCGACCTTATGTGTCTTTTCTGTGACAGTCCTCACTTTGGGAGTGCCTGGGATCTAATTTGTATGCTAGGTGTTAACCAGTTGTGTAGTTATAGGAGAGAGGATGGCTCAAATTTTACCTAGAGTTTGTATGCCTGTGGTGACCATTTTTCTAAACCAAAAATTGAGACAAATTGGTTGACAAATATGAATAAACGTGTGGTCACAAAGGGAGATATTAAGTTTAGATACAGACACACAAGTGACCCCTCCAAAACACAGACATACCCTTCCATAAAAGCATAGCCACTCTATCCCTCCATAAACAAAACTGCCAGTGACTATTGGTAATTTCCCAAGTTTATTCAATATAGAGATACCTATACACTGTAAGTATCTTCCATTTCATCCATATTAATTTACAGTTTATTTAGTCATCTCAAGAATGCAGTTAAATATTAGATACACTTTTCTAATAATCCAGTTAGTCCAGATATCTTAATTTAATGTTTACATATAGCAGATTACTAATTTTATAATAAATAAAAAATTGGAGGCCACTCAACACTGGGATTTTATTTTATTTTTAAATTTCTAAACACTCAAATTATGTTTATAGTGTCTAGTATTATATTTTGTTAAGCAGGAGAGCAGAAAAAAATATTGTTTAGAAAATGTAAGTCATATAAAATGGATCATATATTAAATAGATATTTAGGATATGTTAAATGTAAAATTAATTATCATAATAAATAAAATATAAAAATAATTTGTCCCTGGAATAATTGTAATATTATATTTTATTTAAATACTATACACCTAAACATACATTTTTATATTTATAGATCTTTAAAATTATAGATCTGTTTTTGAGGGTTTTTGTATTGCTTTTAAAGAAATATTTCAAAGCGGTCTAGAAAGCAATTGTTATAATAAAGGCAAGGATTTTGTCTATAATTGCCAACAAAATATTTCAAATGATTCATATTCAGTTGTACAGAGGTTTTAAGTTCCATGTGGACACCTGCAAGTTGTCTTAGATAATCTATAATGAAGTAACTCTTATGAGGCTTATTCGCTTCCATATGGAACAAAATAATACAGCCTTGACATTGATGTATGCAACGTATTTTTAAGATGACATTCACACAATACTGTTCTTGCCAGTTAAAAAATAACAATCCATTTTCTCTTGCCAAGGAAGGAACTTTGTCTGTAGTATATAATAATATGGCTGAAAAGGCTTAATGCTCTAACTTCTCCATTTTGCTTTGCTAAGCATTCGTAATGATAACAACTGATTACTATTTTAATGAAAATATTTTTTTAAGTCTCAATATGTCTAGCAAGAAAATATTTATTTTTCCAAGGAAATTTAATGTATAGATGATCAAATGTGATTTTAAAAAGAAACAAAAAGATAAGTTTTATAAAATATGTTGTTTCGTTCATTGTGGGAAATGAGCAGTCACGCTCATTATCACCATGTGTCTGAGCAATAAAATAGGAGCTATAATTAACCTGTGCCTTAGTTAGCTCAGGCTGCTATAAAAAATTACCATAGGCTCAGTGGCTTACACAACAAATTATTTCTCACAGTTCTTGAGCCTGAAAGTTCAAGATTGGAGTGCCAGCATGGTCAGGTTCTGGTGAGGGGTCTCTTTCGGGTTGCAGACAGCTGACTTGTAATCTCATATAGTGGAAAGAGAACTAGCTAGTTCTATGGCCTCGTATAAGGGCACTCATCTCATTCACGAGGACTCTTACCTCATGACCTAATAACCTTCCAAAGCCCCCACCTTTGAAGGTGGGGGATACCATCACATGGGAGATTAGATTTCAACATATGAATATGGAGAGACACAAACATTCAGTTTATAACAACATAGTTACCAACAACAAATAGGGTACTACAGCATGAATTTTGGATAATGAGCTCAAATAAAAGTATCTTAAAAAGTCAATGAGGAGAAAAATAAAAAGGATTAAGTTCAAGGGCAGGTGGAGTCTCAAGACCTATTAACCTATTAATAGTTAATACCTATTAACTTCACAAATATAATGCAAAAATAATTAATGGCTATAAGACAAATGAAACTCAGTTCACAAATTCAGGTGTTACAGAAGTATAATTATTTTCCGTGAATTAATTTTGGATCTTAAGTCTCTATTTTTTTTGGTAAGATTAAAAAAAAATTAACATCTGTCCTTCTTCAGCATAGCTTCTACCTCTGCCTAGACTGACTCTCTCTCTCTAGCTTTCTCACTCTCGCTCTCTCTCTCTCTCTCTCTCTCTCTCTCTGGGGTGTGTGTGTGTGATCTGTGTGATCTCTTTCCCTTCATTGGGAAAAATATCATTTTAGTTTTTTACGATAGGCCATGGTTAGGCTTTCCAAATAAAAATTTTGAGTAGACCTGATGATGTAGTAAAAAGAACTTAAAAGTACAGTACCTAACTCTGGCCAAGGAAGAATCCCCTTATGTCATATCCTCATAATCTTGTGTGGAGACTGGAATACCACTATGCCCTCCTATGACCCCATAGTCTGGAATAGTATTGAGGGAAGGAGTCCATAATTCTGAGTTCCTCTAATCTGGTATATTCTCACATCATGCGGGTACTAAGACTAGGTATATCTACTCCGCTATATCCTAATCTTGTGTTTGTCCTTTGCATTAAATCTTTGTCCTGGTTTGGTAGTAAACCAAACTGAAAGCAGTCTTAGACATGACTGAGTCATAATTCTCCCCAGATTTAGAACTTATACCAAGTTTTGTAGTTTAACCTAGTTCACTTTATTGATCTTGTCTATCCTCTCTTCACTCTAAAACTAAGGGTTTTAGAAACAAAAGACAGAAAATATGCTGCCTTAAGCAGAAAGAAAAATGAGATGAGTGTAAATAAGAAAAAAAGTAATATCTTAAACGATTACTCAGACAGTCCAAATATAAGTGTAATAAAAAACACCTTTATGTCACATAACATGAGAATAAATAAGCAAAATATTTTACTTTTTAAATTTGATATTTTCAAGAAATAGAAGTATACTGTAGAGAATTATGAAGGATTTCACATTGCATTTAGCAAGAAAAAGGATGCAAAAATTCATTTTTTAAAACCTCAATTCCCCAGTGAATCTGCCTTGTTTCTAATTGATTCTATCTCGTGATTCAATTGCCACTAAAGATTTGGGACATCTCTAGGGCTGGCCCTGGGAGGAATTGTAAAACAGGTGTGTCAACTTTATTACCCCGTTCCTCTCCTATTAACAATAATATGCCTGATTTCTTTGTGTTCTCTTACCCTCTCTCTTCCCAAAACTTACTCTGGAAAAGAGGTAACACAGTATTCATAGCATACTTGGAATACAACTTAAGAACTAGAGAAATTCTATTTGGAGGTGAACAATTATTGCTGAGGTCTCAAGCCCTGAGAATCAATACGCCCCGGCAATCAGTATGTGTTTGTATTCCTCAAAATAATCTCTCTGAGAAATTTATTTTCTAATTTGGCACCCACTCAACTTCACTTTTTCTACAGTACTGACCTCTCTCTTCGGAGGAATACAAACATATTTCTAATTTCGAACCAGCAATTTGGATTTTCCTTCCTCCACAAATTAAACATTTAAAAGTCTTAATTCAGTCCCTGGCATATATATTTTACTTAACACTAAGCAGAATTTTCCAAGATTAATTTAGGGCTTTGCTTTGAGAGAAAATTTTTAGAGTAGAAGAGACAGAATCTCAAGAAGGGACAGGTTCTTGCAGTTGGCAACTTGCACTACTCTGTGGAAACCAGTGCGTAATTAGACTCTCTTCTCTCTCTTACTCCTCACTTTTCCTTGACTACAAGTTCATCTCCTTGCCATGCCTACAATGATACAGAAAAATATATTTGAGTTAAATTCTCAGTTTTGCATAACTTAATACAAATCCATTGTAATTCAGGGATTAGAGTTATTTTATTCCTAAAATATTAGATTTATGGTGAGAGTAGTTTTTAATTTAAAGATTTTTTAAATGTTTTACTTAGTTAAATGAAAGTAATGTCAGATCTGGATAGGAATACAGTATCGTAAAAAAAAATAGTAAACTGCATATGATTCTCTCAGTGTTCTTGGGTGGTTACTCCTTATTTGTCCAACTAAAACTCAGAGTAATTATACCAAATTACATACAAATTAAGTCACAGATGTGTTAGTCATAGATATTCAGTTATAAGAATAAGTTTCAATAGTTGAGTTATATAGCCCAATGGGGTAATCATTGCTTTAAAAATGTATCTTCTCATTAAGCTTTCATAAAATGTTTGCAACTAATGTGCATTATGAGGCATCTAAAATTCAGAAGCAATAGATTCCTAAGAGGTTCTATTCAAGGTGATGAGGATGGTTCACATTTACTTGAAATTGAAAGGGAATTTTATTAGGTTTACCATAATTGGCATATTTTTATGGATTTATTTTCTAATTTGGCACCCACTCAACTTCACTGCTTATGCTATAGTAGTGGCCTGATGGATTACTGTGGGTTCTTTTCACTATTATTAAATTTAATTGTTTCTTGCTCATATACCCAGATGTGAACAGCATCAGGCTTCTAATCTAATAATACAGACTATTTGGAAAATGTGTGCTGTCAATTAAAGACATTTATAATAGAAGCAATAAAAAGAATCATTAATGAAAAGTAGTTTGCCTCTCACTGTACTTGGCTCTAATTAATCAAAAGTACTTTGAAATTGAAGTCATTAATAAACTTTTCTTACTTTTACAACAATGAAGTGGCTTGAGATTTCTTTGTAAAATTAGAACTATCTTACAAAATGAATGGATGAATGGCTACTGCTTTTTAAAATGTGGTTTTCTTCACCTCCAAAAAATGGTTTAAAGAATAAAAAAAGGAAAATAATGCTTTGAATTTTCAGCCAAAAGATAAATAAAACTTACATAAATTTGATTAGTATGTTGCAGAGATGGATGTGACGAACGTTGTTACTTATTCTGCTTGTTATTTTTCATTTACCTCTAAATATCTTTTTCTGCCCTCTCGGTGCTCTGGGGGATATCACCTGAAGCCCTTGCCATCTGACTTCGAGTAATTTTGGCCAAAAGGAAATGATAATAGAGATTGAAAGGTAGAAAGAGGGAAGTTAGAATATATCCTTCCGCTTCCCTCCCCGTATCAGTGCTTCTACTCTGGCAGCAATGACACCTCTCCTTTTATAAATCTTTCTGGGGGCTCCAGGAAATATTCAGTCCTTCCCAGGGGTGGAAATGGTTTCCTGGTGTTTCTAGTGTCTTGGTGTTACAATGTCATTTAGTTGTTCTTGTCCTCTTATATGTACATATACCATAATAAATGCTTTTCATTTAAACCAATTCAATACATTCTGTTTTCTCAGAGACACTGACTTATATGTAGTTAATAAATAATTAGTCCATTTCTGAAATCATGAACCACGAGTTTCTGTGTTAACATTAAAGTGTTAATTAAAGGCAAGCCCTAGGGAGAAGAAAGGTCCTGGGCATGCACATTAAGAGACAAAAATGGCGAAGTATGATCTTCTGTGTACACTCTACCAGAAACAGGAAAAAAGCCTCAAATGGATATGCACATAACTCCCTAAACACACTGCACATGCTCAATTCTGAAAGGTAAGGAGGACACTTTGCATGCCTGAAGCCCACCCTAAGGGAAGAATCATGAGAAAGAGGCAAGCTTATAAAGTCCCAGAATCAAGGTTAAAGGCACTTGTTTTTTTCTCTCTTTGACCTTCAAGCTCCCAGTTGAATTTCTTCCAAGGGTTCTTTCCTTTCTTTCCTATTGTAAAAGCTTTTTAAATATACTTCACTTCTGCTTTGAAAATTGCCTTAGTCTCTTTTTCTGCTTTATGCCCCTGAGTCAAATTCTTTCTTCTGAGGAGGCGAGGATTGAAGTTGTTATGGACCCCTATGGTTAAGCCACCGGTAACTCAGGGTAACTCAGATCTCTTCCACCACTAACACAGCGAGCGGTGATCATATCACTGCCCTCAGCCTGGGCAAAATGTTTTTAGACCCTTTCTCAAAAAAATAAATAGACAAAATAAAGTTTGAAAATCAATATAATTATAAAACATCTTTATCCTATTCCTTTGGGGTGTACTGTTGTTATTAAAGAAATTCCTCTTGGTAACATTTACTGTAAAATAAATGAGTCTGTTAATATGCCATTGAGTACAGCAATATTTTGTTTAATAGATTGATGGTCAACTATCAGGACATGCCTTCCAATATTAATATTTAGTAAATGTAAGTAATGTGTGATATGTTCTAACATGCTGTAGTGTTATCATATATCAGTTTCCAGTGAAGGTTCCTGGCTCGTAAATCTCATAGCTCTTGTTAGTCTGTTGTTATTACGTTGGGTGTGTTAGTCCTCAAGGGCAGGCCTCTGACCTTCTTACGCCCTCATTTTACCTGCCCCAGGGCAGGACTCTAAGTTTCCCCATTTTTAAGATTGTGAATCTTAAGACCTTCCCATGAAAGAGTCTCATAGTCTCATCCTATACCCTGGGGGAAGAAATGCCAATGTCATGAAGCCTCCATAAAAACCCAAGAGGACAGGGTTCATTGAGCTTCCAGATAGGTAAACATGTGGAGATTCCTGGAGGGTGGTGCACCCAGGGAGGGCATGGAGGCTCCATATCCCTTTCCCCACACATCCCATCTTTTCAACTGTATTCTTTGCAATATCCTTTGTAATAAACCAATAAACATAACTGTTTCCCTAAGTTCTTGGAGCTGCTACAGCAAATTAATTGAACCCAAACAGGGGGTCATGGAAATACCAACTTAAGGCTGGTTGGTTAGAAGTTTTACAGGCCCAGACTTACCACTAGTGTGGGGTGGGGTACAGTCCTGCGGACTGATTCCTCAACCTGTGGGATCTGACACTATCTACCTGGAGTTAGTTGTCTGTAACTGAACACTATCTAATTCAGTCAGATAGCTCTCTAACTGAATGAGAGAACACCTAGCTGGTGTCTGCCTCTTGGTGTGTGGGGGGAATATACCCACAAGTATTGTCACAGAAGCTTTCTGCATTGATGATTACTGTGGTATTAGAGTAGGAGAAAAACATGGTTAGAGAGAATTTTTTCTACACACCTATAAAAGTATAAGAAATTATTTCAAATATCTAGTATCTTTTATAAAGAGTGCAAACCAAAAAAAAACAGTGTTCATTTCTGACTGATATGTAATCCCTGGAACATAGTAGTTGCTAATCAAATGGTTAAATAAATGAATAAGCTTATGGATCATAGTATCGTGAAAGCATTGGTTAATCTAGACATGATAAAAAATTATAATTTGTTAAGACAAAGCCTCAAATCTTATTAAGAACACCATCGAGGCTAGGAAGAAAATGCATCAACTAACGAGCAAAATAACCAGCTAACATCATAATGACAGGATCAAATTCACACATAACAATATTAACCTTAAACGTAAATGGGCTAAATGCTCCAATTAAAAGACACAGACTGGCAAATTGGACAAAGAGTCAAGACCCATCAGTGTGCTGTATTCAGGAAACCCATCTCACGTGCAGAGACACACATAGGCTCAAAACAAAGGGGTAGAGGAAGATCTACCAAGCAAATGGAAAACAAAAAAAAGGCAGGGGTCACAATGCTAGTCTCTGATAAAACAGACTTTAAACCAACAAAGATCAAAAGAGACAAAGAAGGCCATTACATAATGGTAAAGGGATCAATTTAACAAGAAGAGCTAACTATCCTAAATATATATGCACCCAATACAGGAGCACCCAGATTCATAAAGCAAGTCCTTAGAGACCTACAAAGAGACTTAGACTCCCATACAATAATAATGGGAGACTTTAACACCCCACTGTCAACACTAGACAGATCAATGAGACAGAAAGTTAACAAAGATATCCAGGAATTGAACTCAGCTCTGCACCAAGTGGACCTAACAGACATCTACAGAACTCTCCACCCCAAATCAACAGAATATACATTCGTTTCAGCACCATAGCACACCTATTCCAAAATTGAGCACACAGTTGCAAGTAAAGCACTCCTCAGCAAATGTAAAAGAACAGAAATTATAACAAACTGTCTCTCAGACCACAGTGCAATCAAACTAGAACTCAGGATTAAGAAACTCACTCAAAACTGCTCAACTACATGGAAACTGAACAACCTGCTCCTGAATGACTACTGGGTACATAACGAAATGAAGGGAGAAATAAAGATGTTCTTTGAAACCAATGAGATCAAAGACACAACATACCAGAATCTCTGAGACACATTCAAAGCAGTGTGTAGAGGGAAATTTATAGCACTAAATGCCCACAAGAGAAAGCAGGAAAGATCTAAAATGGACACCCTAACATCACAATTAGAAGAACTAGAGAAGCAAGAGCAAACACATTCAAAAGCTAGCAGAAGGCAAGAAATAACTAAGATCAGAGCAGAATTGAAGAAGATAGAGACACAAAAAACCCTTCAAAAAATCAATGAACCAGGAGCTGGTTTTCTGAAAAGATCAACAAAATTGATAGACTGTTAGCAAGACTAATAAAGAAGAAAAGAGAGAAGAATCAAATAGATGCAATAAAAAATGATAAAGGGGATATCACCACCAATCCCACAGAAATACAAACTACCATCAGAGAATACTATAAACACCTCTATGCAAATAAACTAGAAAATCTAGAAGAAATGGATAAATTCCTCAACACATACACCCTCCCAAGACTAAACCAGGAAGAAGTTGAATCTCTGAATAGACCAATAACAGGCTCTGAAATTGAGGCAATAATTAACAGCTTACCAACCAAAAAAAGTCCAGGACCAGATGTATTCACAGCTGAATTCTATCAGAGGTGTAAGGAGGAGCTGGTACCATTCCTTCTGAAACTATTCTAATCAATAGAAAAAGAGGGAATCCTCCCTAACTCATTTTATGAGGCCAGCATCATCCTGAAACCAAAGCCTAGCGGAGACACAACCAAAAAAGAGAATTTTAGACCAATATCCCTGATGAACATCGATGCAAAAATCCTCAATGAAATACTGGCAAACTGAATCCAGCAGCACATCAAAAAGCTTATCCACCATGATCAAGTGGGCTTCATCCCTGGGATGCAAGGCTGGTTCAACATACAGAAATCAATAAACATAATCCAGCATACAAACAGAACCAAAGACAAAAACCAATGATTATCTCAACAGATGCAGAAAAGGCCTTGGACAAAATTCAACAACCTTCATGCTAAAAATTCTCAATAAATTAGGTATTGATGGGACATATCTCAAAATAATAAGAGCTATCTATGACAAGCCCACAGCCAATATCATACTGAATGGATAAAAACTGGAAGCATTCCCTTTGAAAACCGGCACAAGACAAGGATGCCCTTTCTCACCACTACTATTCAACATAGTGTTGGAAGTTCTGGCCAGGGCAATCAGGCAGGAAAAGGAAATAAAGGGTATTCGATTAGGAAAAGAGGAAGTCAAATTGTCCCCATTTGCAGATGACATGATTGTATATCTAGAAAACCCCACCGTCTCAGCCCAAAATCTCCTTAAGCTGATAAGCAACTTCAGCAGAGTCTCAGGATACAAAATCAATGTACAAAAATCACAAGCATTCTTATACACCAATAACAGACAAACAGAGAGCCAAATCAAGAGTGAACTCCCATTCACAATTGCTTCAAAGAGAATAAAATACCTAGGAATCCACCTTACAAGGGATGTGAGGGACCTCTTCAAGGAGAACTACAAACCACTGCTCAATTAAATAAAAGAGGATACAAATAAATGGAAGAACATTCCATGCTCATGGGTAGGAAGAATCAATATCATGAAAATGGCCATACTGTCCAAGGTGATTTATAGATTCAATGCCATCCCCATTAAGCTACAAATGACTTTCTTCACAGAATTGGAAAAAACTGCTTTAAAGTTCATATGGAACCAAAAAAAAGCCCGCATCGCCAAGTCAATCCTAAGCCCAAAGAACAAAGCTGGAGGCATCATGCTACCTGACTTCAAACTATACTACAAGGCTACAGTAACCAAAACAACATGGTACTGGTACCAAAACAGAGATACAGACCAATGGAACAGAACAGAGCCCTCAGAAATAATGCCACATATCTAAAACTATCTGATCTTTGACAAACCTGACAAAAACAAGCAATGGGGAAAGGATTCCCTATTTAATAAATAGTGCTGGGAAAACTGGCTAGCCATATGTAGAAAGCTGAAACTGGATCCTTTCCTTACACCTTATACAAAAATTAATTCAAGATGGATTAAAGATTTAAATGTTAAAACTAAAACCATAAAAACCCTAGAAGAAAACCTAGGCAATACCATTCAGGACATAGGCATGGGCAAGGACTTCATGTCGAAAACATCAAAAGCAATGGCAACAAAAGCCAAAATTGAAAAATGGGATCTAATTAAACTAAAGAGCTTCTGCACAGCAAAAGAAACTACCATCAGAGTGAACAGGCAACCTACAGAATGGGAGAAAATTTTTGCAATCTACTCATCTGACAAAGGGCTAATATGCAGAATCTACAATGTACTCAAATAAATTTACAAGAAAAAAACAAACAACCTCATCAAAAAGTGGGCAAAGGATATGAACAGACACTTCTCAAAAGAAGACATTTATGCAGCCAAAAGACACATGAAAAAATGCTCATCATCACTGGCCATCAGAGAAATGCAAATCAAAACCACAATGAGATACCATCTCACACCAATTAGAATGGTGATCATTAAAAAGTCAGGAAACAGCAGGTGCTGGAGAGGATGTGGAGAAATAGGAACACTTTTACACTGTTGGTGGGGCTGTAAACTAGTTCAACCATTGTGGAAGTCAGTGTGGCAATTCCTCAGGGATCTAGAACTAGAAATACCATTTGACCCAGCCATCTCATTACTGGGTATATACCCAAAGGATTATAAAACATGCTGCTATAAAGACACATACACACGTATGTTTATTGTGCCACTATTCACAATAGCAAAGACTTGGAACCAAGCCAAATGTTCAACAATGATAGACTGGATTGAGATAATGTGGCACATATACACCATGGAATACTACACAGCCATAAAAAACGATGAGTTCATGTCCTTTTTAGGGACATGGATGAAGCTGCAAACCATCATTCTCAGCAAACTATCGCAAGGACAAAAAACCAAACACCGCATGTTCTCACTCATAGGTGGGAATTGAACAATGAGAACACCTGGACACAGGAAGGGGAACATCACACACCAGGGCCTGTTGTGGGGTGGGGGGAGGGGGGAAGGCTAGCATTAGGAGATATACCTAATGCTAAATGACGAGTTAATGGGTGCAGCACACCAACATGGCACATGTGTACATATGTAACTAAACTGCACGTTGTGCACATGTACCCTAAAACTTAAAGTATAATAAAAATAAATAAATAAATAAAATAAAATAAAATATTTTAAAAAAGAAAAAAAAAGAATGTATTACTGAAAATGATTCAATTTTTATTTAATGTATTCTGTTCATTGCTTTAGCATCCATTTACTGTCCCCAAACCTCAACTTACATGATGAGTGGTTGCATTACTAGGGTTTATTTACACGATTTCCAATATGGTTATGAGAAATACACTTTGACTTCAGGCTTTTAAAATGTGTTTTTTCTGAAATAGTTTTCATTGTGTGATAGATTTATTTATTCACTTTAAACGTTATGATTTACATAATCATCAGAATAACATGGAAACCATGTAGCACCAGTCAAAAATACAGTGCAATATTTGTAACTTCATGTTTTATTTCACTTTTATCTGTTTAGTTATTAAGAGTATGTGCTTAATATTGTGCCTTTGCCCCTGCAAATGTAGTAATTGCCCTTCTCCATTCTGTTTGGTCTCCCAGAAGACTAAATTTGAGGAACTGAATCTCCCATATTCCTTTGCCATCGGTCTTTGGGGTTGTATTTGGACAATGAGAGATACAAGGCGGAGCTCTGAAGGCAAAAGGAAAATGAGGGAGGACGCTTAATTCCCTCAGCTCACTGCCTGCTGGGCCGTATACCTTTGTAGGACGCCTCATCTTCTGTTGGGCATCTCTCCCTTAGAACCAGAGCCCCAGCTCTACTTCTCTCCAATTCTAACAACTGCTCTATTCTTTACTCAGGCCCAGAAATGGAAGCAGCTCCCTGTAGTCGCTAAGCTCTGGAATACAACACCATCCCTTCTCTGTGCCCCATATCCTGTCTACCACTTTATAAATAGCACTTTTGTGAAACTCACTTTAACTCATTTAAGTGTGTTTTTTCCCCTCCTGCCAGGACTCTGACTGATGCATGGCATTTTATTAAACAGCTTATATTTTTAAGTTTTTCACTCCTTCCAGATGATTTACTTGGAAATGCTATTTATTTACTCTCTCATCTAACATAATGTATTCCCACTGACATTGATTTGTTAATTGAAAAATATATGGTTGGCATGGAGAACTTAACATTACCAAAAACATCTTAATTCAATAAACCTTTTTGTCACATTTCTATGTAGGTATAGAGAGAAACATTTTAAATAATTCAAAAAATCTGTGTCACTATCTTAAACTACACATATTTTTATATAGAGACAAGATGATAACCTGCTACTTCCACAGTTAAATTAATTTGCATATATATGGAAAATGACATAAATAACTCTGATATTCCACAGAATAAAATACATTAACATTTATAAAGGTAATCATTAATCATCTTTCTCATGATATTATGATCCATTGTAACCTTCATATTTTACACTTTGACAATCATTAAAATGTCATGTTGACTTGGATTATGTCAGTATATCATACTACCAACCCAGCTGATTTTGATAAGTCAAAGCTAAAAGACAGAGTGAAACAGACATATCTTTTCCAAATGACCCCTTTAAGATTTATTATTTTTAACAGTATTTACTACATATGAGCAATTATTTGTATATTACTACATTATATCAAGAAGTACATTTGCAAATATTTTACCACTATATTGATTATTAATTGATTCAACAAATGTTTTGGGGCATATGTTTTCCTAGCTGCTGATGCGAGGTGTTATTAATACAATGAATGTGTATTAGTCTGTTGTCATGCTGCTAATAAAGACATACCCGAGACTGGATAATTTATAAGGAAAAGAGGTTTTTTTTTGTTTTGTTTTTTTGAGATGGAATTTCACTCTTGTTGCTCAGGCTGGAGTGCAGTGGCACAATCTTGGCTCACTGCAACTTCCGCCTCCCGGATTCATGCAATTCTCCTGCCTCAGCCTCCCGAGTAACTTGGATTATAAGCTCCCACCACCACATCTGGCTAATTTTTGTATTTTTAGTAGAGACAGGGTTTTGCCATGTTGGCCAGGCTTGTCTTGAACTCCTGACCTTCAGTGATCCACCCGCCTCTGCCTCCCAAAGTGCCAGGATTACAGGCGTGAGCCACTACGCCTAGCCGGAAAAGAGATTTAATTGACTCACAGTTCCACATGGCTGGGGAGGCCTCACAATCATGGCAGAAGGCAAAGGAGGAGCAAAGTCACATCTTACATAGCAGCAGGCAAGAGAGCTTGGGCAGGGGAACTCCCATTTATAAAACCATCAGATCTTGTGAGACTTATTCGGTATCACGAGAACGGCACAGGAAAAACCTTCCCCCGTAATTCATTTACCTCCCACCAGGTCCCACCCATGACACATAGGGATTATTACAATTTAAGGTGAGATTTGGGTAGGGACACAGACAAACTATATCAGAATGAAATAGAGAGAGACAGTAAATATGAGTAGCCAACATATATACATAGCCAGTTCCTGATAGGGCTATGTAGAGAAATAAAGAAGGAAAAGGGATAAGGTGTTCTGAAATGGGGATGAGCTTAATTGGCATATTTACCTATTGTAGTACAATGCAAGGAGCTAAAATAACTCAAATCCTTTGACCCACCTCCTGAATTATCGTTGTCATAGTTTTTATTCTACAAATACTTTAAATCCTAGGAATGATTGTTATTGCTTTTTTGTAGAGTAACTATTTATTTATATTCATTCCAAATAATTAAAATTTCACTGTTTTTCTATTCCCTTCTGCATGATTGGCATTCCAGTTGGGATTTACTTCTTATCAACAGAAAGCAAGTCTTTATTATTTCTTTTAATTTATCTCTAGTAATAAATTCAGGATGTTTTTGTTATTGTGGCTTCAAGATTGTCTTCATCTTTAATCTTAAAGAAAAATCTTTTGGGTTTAGGAATCTCACTGGTAGTTATTCTATCTTGGCACCTTGGAGATACCATTCCTTTCTCTTCTAGCCACCCTTGATTCTGTCATAAAGTCATATCTCAGGTAATTAATTCTGTCTTCAACTGTGCCCAATCTGCTTTTATTGTGTATGTGTGTGTATATATGTGTATATATATGGTATGTGTACATACGTACTATGATGTATACATATATATGTATACCTACTACTATATATATACACACATATGTATGTGTGTATATGGTGTATATATAGAGAGTACATAAGATATATGTGTATATAAGAACTGCACATATATATATGAGAAGTACATGAGATATTTTGATTCAGGTTTACAATGCATAATAATTGCACCATGGTAAATGGGATATTCATGCCCTCGAGCATTTATTCTTTGTGTAACAAACAATTCAGTTATAATCTTTTAGTTATTTTTAAATGCACCATTAAGTTATTATTCACTATAGTCACCATGTTGTGCCATCAAATACTAGATCTTATTCACTCTTTCAAATTAATTGATGTGCCCATTAACCATGCCTGCTTCCCCTCTATCCCACTACACTTCCCAGATTCTGATCACCCTTTCTACTCTCTATCTCCACGAGTTCATTCATTTTAATTTTTAGCTCCCATAAATAAATGAGAACATGTGAAATATGCCTTTCTGTGCTTTTTGTGTTCACTTAACACAATTACCTCCAGTTTCATCCATGTTGTTGCAAGTAACAGCATCTCATTCTTTTTTATGACCAAATACAACTCCATTATGTATATGTACCACATTTTCTTTAGTTATTTGTCTGTTGACAGACACTTAGGTTGCTTCCAAATCTTGGCTATTGTGAACAGTGCTGCAATAAATGTGAGAACACGTATATCTTTTCTATATACTCATTTCCTTCCTTTGAAGGTATATACCTAGCAGTGATATTGATGGATCATATGGTAGCTTTACTTTTCATTTTTTGAGGAATCTCCAAATTGTTCTCCATAGTAGTTGTACTAATTTACATTCCCACTAACAGTGTACTGGGGTTCTCTTTTGTCCATATCTTCTCCAGTGTTTGTTATACCCTGTCTTTTGGATATAAGCCATTTTCACTGGGGCGAGATGATATCTCATTGTAGCTTCTATTTGCATTTCTCTGATGATCAGTGATGTTGAGCACCTTTTTATATGCCTGTTTGTCATTTGTATGTCTTCCTTTGAGAAATGTTTATTCAGATCTTTAGTCCATTTTTAAATTGGATTCTTAGATTTGTTTTTCCTATTGAGTTGTTAGAGATTCTTATACATTCTGGTTATTAATCCCTTGTTATATGGGTAGTTTGCAAATATTTTCTTCCATTCTGTTGGTAGTCTCTTCACTTTGTTGATTATTTCCTTTGCCATGCAGAAGCTTTTTAACTTGATGTGATCCCATTTGTACATTTTTGCTTTGGTTGACTGTGCTTACGTGTTATTACTTAAGAAATCTTTGCCCACTCCAATTTCCTGGAGAGTTTACCTGGTGTTTTATTGTAGTATATTTATATTTTGAGGCCTTAGATGTAAGTATTTAATCCAATTTGATTTGATTTATGTATATTATGAGATATAGGGGTCTGATTTTATTCTTCTGAATATGAATATTCAGTTTTCCCACCACCATTTATGGAACAGATTGTCTTTTCTCCAGTGTATGTTCTTGACACCTTTGTTGAAAAGCAATTCACTGTAGGTGTGTGAATTTGCTTCTGGGTTCTTTCTTTGGTTTCATTGGTATATGTGTCTGTTTTTATGCTAGTGCAATTCTGTTTTGGTTACTATAGCTCTGTAGTATAATTTGAAGTCAGGTAATGTGATTCCTCCAGTTTTGTTCTTTTTGTTCAGAAGGTGTTGGCTATTCTGGGTCTTTTCTGGTTCCAAATAAATTTTAGATTTTTTTTTTTTCTGTTTCTGTGAAAGACATAATTGGTATTTTGACAGGAATTGCATTGAATCTGTAGATTGCTTTGGGTAATATGGACATTTTAACAGTATTTATTCTTCCAATCCATGAACATGGAATATCTTTCCATTTTTTGTGTCTTCTTCAATTTCTTTCATTAGTATTTTATTATTTTCATTGTAGAGATTGTTCATTTCTTTGGTTAAATTAATTCCTAGGTAATTAAATTTATTTGCAACTATTATAAATTGAGTAACTTTCTTAATTTCTTTTTCAGATTGTTCACTATTGGCAAAGAGAAATGCCACTGATTTTTGTTTGTTGATTTTGTATCCTGCAACTTTACTGAATTTGTTAAATAGGTCTTTTGTTTTGTTTTTTTTTTGCTTTTTTTTTTTGTTTCTTTTTTTTTTTTTTTTGAGATGGAGTCTTGCTCTGTTACCCAGGGTGGAGTGCAGTGATGCAATCTCATCTTACTGAAAACTCCACCTCCTGGGTTCAAATGATTCTCCTGTCTCAGTCTCCTGAGTAGCTGGGATCACAGGCATGCACCACCATGCTCAGTTAAGTTTTGTATTTTTAGTATAGATGGGGTTTTGCCATGTTGGCCAGGCTGGTCTCAAACCCCTGAGTTTGAGTGCAAGGATTACAGGTGTGAGCCACTGCACCTGGCTTGTTTATCAGTTCTAATAGTATTTTAGTGGAGTCTTTAGATTCTTCCCAATATAAGAGCATATCGTCTGCAAACAAGGATAATTTAGCTTCTTTCTTTACAACTATGATGTCCTTTACTTCTTTATCTTGTTTGCTGTAGCTAAGACTTCTGACATTGTGTTCAATAACAATGGCCATTGTGGGCATGCTTGTCGTGTTCCATATTTTAGAGGAATAGCTTTCAGGTTTTCCCCATTCAATGTGATATCAGCTGTGAGTCTATTGTATATGGTTTTTATTATATTGAGGTATACTCCTTCTTCACCCAGTTTTAGAGTTTTTATCATAAAGGGATGCTGAATTTTATCAAATGCTCTTTCAGCAGCAGTTGAAACGATCAATGGTTATTCTCCTTTATTCTACTGATATCATGTACCACATTGATTAATTCACATAGGTTGAACCCTCTTTACATCTCTGGAATAATTCATCCTTGGTCATGATGAATGACCTTCTAAATTCATTGTTGAATTTGGTTTGCTAGCATTTTGTTTAGGATTTTTGCATCTATATTTACCAGTGATATTGGTCTGTAATTTCCTTTATTTCATATATTTGTTTGATGTTGGTACTGACCTCATAGAATGAGTTTAGAAGTATTTCCTCCTCAGTTTTTCAAAATAGTTTGAGTAGCATTGGCATCATTTTTTTAATGTTTGGTAGAATTCAACAGTGAAACCCTCAGGTCACAGGCTTTTCATTACTGGGAACCTTTTTATTATGCCTTTGATTTTGCTACTTGTTTTTGGTCTACTCAGGTTTGAGATTTCTTCCTGATTCAATCTTGGTACATTGTATGTGTCTAGGAATTTATCCATTTCCTCTAGATTTTCCAATTTATTGGCATATAATTATTTCTTATGGCCACTAATGATCCTCTGAATTTCTATGGTATCAGTTGTAATCTTTTTTTCATCTCCAACTTTATTTATTTGGGTCTTCTCTCTTTTTGCCTTAGTTAATCTGACCAAAGGTTTGTCTTTTTTTTTTTTTTTTTTTTTTTACCTTTTCAAAAACACAACTTTTTATTTCATTGAACTTTTGTGTTGTTTATTTCAATTTAATTTATCACTGCTCTGATTATTATCATTTCTCTTCTACTAATTTTGGGTTTTGTTAGCTCTTGGTTTTCTAGTTCTTAAAAATGACTTATCTGGTTGTTTATTTGAAGTTTTTTTCCATTTCAATGTAGGTTCTTATAGCTATAAACATCCCTGTTAGTCCTGCTTTTGCTGTATCCTGAAGGTTTAGGTATGTCATGTTTACATTATTATTTGTTTCAAGAAATTTTTCAGTTTCTTTCTTCCTTAGTTTCTTCATTGACCCATTGGTCAAACAGGATCCTGTTGTTTAATTTTTGCATGTGTGTATAGTTTCTGAATATTCTCTTGTTAGTGATTTTTAGTTTTATTTCACTGTGATCAGAGAAGTTGCTTCATATTATTTAAAATTTTTGAATGTTTTAAGACTTATCTTGTGACCTAACATATGTTCCATACTTAAAAATGATCATGTACTGAGAAAAAGATTGTATATTCTGTAGCCTTTGCATGAAATGTTCTGTAAATATCTATTCTGTACATTTGATCTGTAGTGCAGATTCAGTCTCATGTTTTTTGGGGGGTTTCTGTCTGGAAGATCTGTTCAATGCTAAGAGTTGGGTGTTGAAGTCTCCAGCTATTACTGTATTGATGTCTACCTCTCTCTGTAGCTCTAATAATATTTTCTTTGTATAGCTGGTTGCTCCAGCATTGGGTGCATATATATTTGCAATTGTTATATCCTCTTGCTGAATTGACCCCTTTATTATTATACAATGACCTTCTTTGTCTCTTCTTATAGTTTTTGTCCTGAAATTTATTTTTTGGATATAAAAGTACCTGCTCCGTTTTCATTTCCGTTGGCATGGAATATCTTCTTCCATCCATTTATTTTCAGTTGGTGTACATCTTTATAGATGAAGTGTGTTTCTTATAGCCAACAGATTTGGAGCCTTTTTTTTTTAAATCCATTCAGCCACTCTATGTCTTTTGATTGGAGAGTTTAGTCCATTTATATTCAATGTTATTATTGATAAATAAAGACATACTTCTGCCATTTTGTTATTTGTTTTCTGGTTGTTTTGTGATCTTCTCTTCCTTCTTTCCTCTTTCCTGTTTGCCTTTTAATGAAGGTCATTTTCTTTTCTGTTGGTATGATTTAACGTCTTGCTTTTAATTTTTTCTGAATTCATTGTATGTTTCTGGAATTGAGGTACCATTAGGCTTGCAAATACTATCTTATAAACCATTATTTTAAATGATGACAACTTAACACTAATTGCATTAACAAACATGCAAAAAGAAAACTAATAAAAACTCTACTCTTTAAATTTGCAACCCCACCTTTTGTATTTCTATTGTTTCTACTTATGCTATTGTACTGTATATGTCATGAAAACTTGTAGTTATTATTTTGGATTTGTTCATCATTTAGTCTTTTGACTTAGCATAACAGTAGTTTATACACCATATTTAAAGTATTATAAAATACTGTGTTTTCCTATGTTCTTACTATGACCAGTGAGTTTTACCCTTCAGGTGGTATTTTATTGCTCATTCATATTTTTTCTTTCAGATAGAACTCCCTTTAGCATTTCTTGTAGGACAGGCCTGGTGTTGATGAATTCCCTCATAGTTTATTTGTCTGGGAAAGTATTTATTTCTCCATTATGTTTGAAGGTAATTTTTGCCAAATATACTATTCTAGGATAAAGTTGGGTTTTTTGTTTTTTTGTTTTGTTTTGTTTTCTCCAGTGCCACTCTCTCCTGCCCTATAATGGAAAGTCAGCTGCTGGATGTATTGAAGCTCCATTGTATATTTGTTTCTTTTCTCTTGCTAGTCCCCTTTATTTTTCCTCTGTTTTTCTGAAGCAGAATGAGTTTTTCACCATAGCCACCAGAGCTGGGAATGTGCTAGGTCTCACCTGAAGCCAGCACATTTCAGTCTCACCCAAGGCCCACAGCATGCTATGTGGGTATTGCTGTTGGTTATTCAGGGCCCAAGGCTCTTCAGTCAGCAGGTGAACAATTCTGCCAGGACTGGGTCCTTCTCTTCAATGCAGCTGGTTCCATTCTGGTCCAGGATGTATCTAGAAATGCCATCTGGGAGATAGGGCCTGCAATGTGGGCCTTGACTCTGCCCGGTGCCCTGTTCTATTGTGACTGAGCTGGTATCCAAGATGCAAGACAAAGTTCTTTTTATTCGTTTCTCTCCTGTCTTCAAGCAGAAGGAAGGAGTCACTTTTGTTTCTGTGAGCTGCGCTGCCTGGGGTTGCAGGAGAGGTGGTGCAAGCACTCCCTTAGCTGACCCAGCTTATGTCTCCATTGGTCACATGCTGCCCTAGTCCACTGGCTCTGAATCCAGCCCAATACTAAGATTTGCCTAATAATTGCAGTCTTTGTGTCCTAGACTCCCTTTCAAGTTTACTTAGAACCTCAGAGTGCTTTAGCATGTGGTGGTGAGGCTTGTGGACACCAAATTTCAATCACTTTGATGGGCAATTTCCCTCTGGCTAGGGCTTGTCCATATGCTCCTCCATGGGCAGGCACCAAGGAGACCAGAATGGCTTTGCTGTTTACTGTGACCGGGCAGCACTGAGTTTAATGCTAAGTCTCTCAGTTGCTGTGCTCTCCCTCCTTCAAGTACACAGATTCTGTCTCTATGCCACATGGCCACTGCCAGGGGATGGAGGAGGGGTGGCATCTGCAATTCAAGACTGTCTTTGCCACCTTCCTCAGTGCCTCTTTTTGCAATATAAATTTAAAACCAGAACCAGGTACTGTTATTATTCACCTAGTTTTTGGTTCTTATGATGATACTTTTTTTGTGTGTAGTTTGTTGTTAAAATTTGGTGTTCCTGCAGAAGGGGTCATTGGTGGAGGCTTCTTCTAAGCCATCTTGCTCTGCCCCTGCTCCAAACTACCTCTAAACATAGCCATTGATTTCTCAATTTTAAATATTGTATTTTTGTTTCAGTTATAAAACTTCCATTTTCTTTGTCTATCTGTCTTATCTATCTATCTTTCTATCTATCTAGAGAGAAAGAGAGGGATAGAGAGACACAACTCTGGGCAACAAAACAAGACTCTGTCTCTATAAAAACAAAATTAAAACAAAAAATAGCCAGGTGTGATGATGCCTGCCTGTAGTTCCAACTACTCAGGAGGCTGAGGCAGAAGGATCACTTGAGCCCACGTAGTCAAGGTGTAATGAGCTATGATACATTACTGAGTATTGCACTGCATTCCAAACTTGGTTCAGAGTGAGACCCTGTCTCTAAGAAGAAAATAATACTAATAAATTTTAAAATAAATGCATAAACACATATGTGTCTGATAAGTTCCTTCCTAATACATTTCTCCATTTGTATGTTTATATTTTCTATTGCTTTTTCTTTATTTTCGTTCTTGTTCTCTTAACTATTTTTGTGCCTGTTATTTTTGAATGAGCAGCATTGTAAATCCAAAATTGTAAAAATAATGTGGCTTCAGATGATGATATAGTCCTCAGGAGAATATTTACATTTGTCTCTGCAACCTTTTAGGGACACAGAATTCTGGGAGTATCTTTATCCAACATGAGGACTTGAAATGATTCAAAACTGGATTTCAACCTATACAAGGCTGACTTATTTTGATTCCATTCCCATGCTTCCCGAATGTAACTCTTCAGAATGTCAACCAAATACAGGAAACTTAATGGGCCTTCTCTGAGAATGAACTGAACTTGACATTTTGTCCCTTTAGCTTCACAAGATTTTCAAAGGCCCCTTTCAGTTTCTCAGCCACTCAGTCACCTCATCTGAAATCTACAGAAACACTTAGAGCAAAATCAGCTCTAAATATTAGATATACCTCTCTTCTTCCAAATCTTAACCTTCTCATTCTTCATTGCCTTATTGACTTTCCATGCCTTCAGGTAAGTATTCATCTTTCCTCATTTTTTCTCAGTAGGATAGTTGGTCAAAATTTTCCAATACGCAATGACTGAAAGCCTAAATCTATCCATAAATTTCTTACTGAAGGCATAGTAAAACAAGTTCTCATAGTGATTGGGCTAACAAAAACACTGAGCATTTACCAGTTTCAGAAACTCAGCTTCCAAATGTTACATACAGATTTTGCAGTAGAAAAAGTTTATTCTAATGAAAATAATCATGGTTGAGTGGATTTGAAATGCCTCATTTTCATCTTATATACACCATCGATTTGTATATAAGACAGATTAAAAGGAGAAAATAATATAAAATTAAGTTTATGCAAAGGCTTTAAAACTCATGCATATAAATTAGAGACAAAGGGGTTAGTGTAAATTACAGGATTATTTTAAGCTTTCATACTCCCACATAAAATTTATCTTTCTTTGCAATAAAAATAATTTGATTGATATGTATTTTTTACTTATGTAAACTTCATGCATATTTTCAAAATCAGTCCTTATCTTAAAAAGTAAAAAATACAGTGTAATCACAAAATAGATAAAGTTCGGGACAAGATTAATCCATAATACCACCATCTTATCAAATAACTTATTTTTATTTTTTGTTATCTTCTAGTACCGATATAAAAAATAAACAAGGATGTTTGACTTAACAAGGATGTTAATTCTTTATATATTTGCAATCAAATACATTATACACTTCAGTTCCATTTTTTTAAAAAAATTTACAATATAATAAATATGACCCCAAATCTCTGTTTGTTTTTTATGGTGATTATTTAAATATCTGCATTAAAATCCCAATATTTCATTGGCATCTAATTGCATTGTTTATTTAAACCCTACTCTAGGGAAATGTATAATGCACTACAACTTAATTCAAGAACATCAGGCTGGGCGCGGTGGCTCACGCCTGTAATCCCAGCACTTTGGGAGGTGAAGGCGGGTGGATCACGAGGTCAGGAGATCAAGACCATCTTGGCTAACATGGTGAAACGCTGTCTCTACTAAAAATACAAAAAATTAGCTGGGTGTGGTGGCGGGCACCTGTAGTCCCAGGTACTTGGGAGGCTGAGGCAGGAGAATGGTGTGAACCCAGGAGGTGGAGCTTGCAGTGAGCCGAGATAGTGCCACTGCACTCCAGCCTGGGCAAGAGAGCGAGACTCCATCCATCTCAAAAAAAAAAAATAAAAAAAAAAACAACAACATCAAATTGGAGGTAAATTTGGAATTTGAACAAGGATTATTCTACTTGCTACATCTTTATTTATCTCCCTGCAACCTGAGACCCCAAATCTGTAAAATGGGATAATAAGAAAACTTATATCAAAAGACTATTGTGAGGATTATGCTAATCCAGATAAAACACTAAACATGTTCTGGCATACAGTAAGCACTTAATAAATAAATATCAGTTTATCAACTTTATTCAATCACTGCTAATCATAAACTTTGAATTACAGTATTGCATACATGCTAACCAAGAATCAAAGAGCATCACCTTTGAAATTGGAATGATAGGTTTGAATACTGACCTCATCACTGACTTGTTAGCCAGTTGGAAAGTTACATAACTTTACAAAACCTTAGCTGACCTTTTGGGATTTTAGAGGAAAAAAAAATGACTCAAAAAGTACAGTGCTGTAGGCTGAGTGCAGTGGCTCGTGCCTGTAATCCCACCATTTTTGGAGGCCAAGGTGGATTGATCACCTGAGGTCAGGAGTTCCAGACCAGCTTGGCCAACATGGTGAAACCCTGTCTCTACTAAAAATACAAAACTTAGCTGGGCATAGTGGTGCCAGCCTGTAGTCCCAGCTACTCAGAAGGCTGAGGCAGGAGAATAGCTTGAACCTGGGAGGCTGTGGTTGCAGTGAGCCAAGATCAAGCCATTGAACTCCAGCCTGTGTGACAGAGTGAGACTCCATCTCAAAAAATAAACAAAAACAACAGCAACAACGAAAAGTGCTTAATTCAGAAAATCAGTGTTTAATTTCTTTTTTCTATTGCTTTTCTCCTATTAAGTTTGTAAAGCATGATTTGTCACCATGAATATTCTGCTGTCTCTAAGATCATTCAGTAACTTAGCAGAAAAGCTAGAAATATTTCTCTTGGCAACTGTAGTTTTAAAAAATAACAACTCCTTTTTTACTGTTTTGATATGCCAGGGCTTAGGCACAAAATTTCCAGGAAGAAGGAGCTACGTTAATTTGGGTGAAATGTACTCTTTTGTGATTATAATAAATGGATATGATAAAAGTCAAATTGGAGATACTCCCTTCCATCTTGCATTTCTTAAGAAAAAAGAAAAAGATTTTGTTGCAGATAGAGTAATGTTCATATCTGGGACTCTGACACAAATTAGTTGCATGAGTTTGGGAAAGTCACTTAACCAACCTGAGCCTCACTTTATCTATTTAAAAAGGGGAATAATATTATCCACCCTGATAATCTACTGAGAGTTTAAATAAATAATGCACATAAGATAGCTACACATTTCATAACTGTTCAAGAAAGAATTGTCTTCTGTCATTTTATTTTTATTATAATATTTGCTTGTTTGTTTGTTTGAGACAGAGTTTCACTCTTGTTGCCCAGGCTGGAATGCAGTGGCACGATCTCGACTCACTGCAACCTCTGTCTGCCGGATTCAAGCGATTCTCTTGCCTCAGCCTCCAGAGTAGCTGGGATTACAGGTGCATCCCACCACGCTTGGCTAATATTTTGTATTTTTAGTAGGCACAGGGTTTCATCACGTTGGCCAGGCTGGCCTCTAACTCCTGATCTCAGATGTTCCACCTGCCCCGCCTCCCAGAGTGTTGGGATTACAGGCGTGAGCCACCGCATCTGGCTATTTTTATTATTTTTTAATTCTAAGAAAAGTTTACTTCTTCTAACCTAGTAATTTCACTTTTAGGTGTTAATCTTGAAGAAACAAACCTGATTTAAAAATGTGTCATGTCAAATTCTTTAACATTATTTAAAATAGTACAAAAATTAGAAATAGCTCAATACTCAATGAAAGAGTATGCTAAAATAAATTAAGGAATAATGGTAAAAGAAATAGTTGTAGCTATTAGAGTAATAAAACTTGGTTTGTAGTGTTTTTATGTAATGTAACTTTTATTTTTATTTATTTATTTATTTATTTTTTTTGAGACGGAATCTCGCTCTGTCGCCCAGGCTGGAGTGCAGTGGCGGGATCTCGGCTCACTGCAAGCTCCGCCTCCCGGGTTCACGCCATTCTCCTGCCTCAGCCTCCCAAGTAGCTGGGACTACAGGCGCCCGCCACTACGCCCGGCTAATTTTTTGTATTTTTAGTAGAGACGGGGTTTCACCGTTTTAGCCGGGATGGTCTCGATCTGCTGACTTCGTGATCCGCCCGCCTCGGCCTCCCAAAGTGCTGGGATTACAGGCGTGAGCCACCGCGCCTGGCCTTTTTTTTTCAACTTCTATTTTAGATTCAGGGTGTACATATGCAAGTTTGTTAACAGGGCATACTGCATGATGCTGGGGTTTGCAGTATGAATGATCCAGTCACCTAGGTACTGAGCATAGTACCCAACTGATAGTTTATCCACCTTTGACGCCTCATCCCTGCTCTAGTAAGTCTCAGGGTCTAATTTTGCCATCTTTATGTTCATGAGTACCCAACGTTTAGCTCCCACTGATAAGTGAGAACATGCAGTATTTGGTTTTCAGTTCCTGCATTAATTTGCTTAGGATAATGGCCTCCAGCTGCATCAATGTTGCACAAAGACATGATTTTATTCTCTTTTATGGCTGCATAATATTCCATGGTGTATATGTACTACATTTTCTTTATCCAATCCATCACTGATGAATACCTAGGCTGATTCCATGGTTTGGCAATTGTGAATAGTGCTGTGATGAACATGTGAATGCCTATGTCATTTTGGTGGAAAGATTTGTGTTCTTTTGGATATATACTCAGTAATGGGAATGCTGCGTTGAATGATAGGTCTGTTTGAAGTTCTTTGAAAAATCTCCAAAGTGCTTTCCACAGAAGCTGAACTAATTTACATCTCCATCAACAGTGTATAAGTGTTCCCTTTTCTCTGCAGCCTCACCAGCACCTGTTGCTTTTTGACTTTTTAACAATCACCATTCTGACTGGTGTGAGATGGTATCTCATTGAAGTTTTGATTTGCATTTCTCTGATGATTCATGATGTGGAGCATGTTTTCATGTTTGTTTGCTTTTGAGAAGTCTTCTTTTGAAAAGTGTCTGTTCTTTTTTTTTCTATTTTTTATGGGGTTATTCGAATTTTGCTTGTTGAGTTATTTAAATTCCTTATAGTTTCTAGATATTATATCTTTGTCAGATGCATACTTTGCAAATATTTTTTCCCATACTGTAGGTTGTCTATTTTCTCTTTTGACAGTTTTCTTTGCTGTGCAGAAGCTCTTTAGTTTAACTAGGTCCCACTTGTTAATTTTTGTTTTTGTTGCAATTGCTTTGGATGACTTAGTCATAAAGTCTTTCCCAAGATCAATATCAAGAATGGTATTTCCTAAGTTTTCTTCTAGGATTTTCATAGAGTATCTCAAAAAGTAAATAAGTTAATAAAAACAAAGGTACATTCCGCAGTGGGAACTCAAAATATTGAGATACATTGCAGTTTAAATCCACTTGATGTGAGAAAATTATAAAGGACTCAGAATATTTAGCCTCCTCCTGTGAATAAGGAAGGCTAATGATGCATCTTCCATGCCAGAGAGCAGACAAAAAGAAAGAACACAAGTTAAAGGAAAGTTCAGTTTCATTCAAACTCAGGTAAATCTAGCAATTAGAGCTACAAAAAAAATGAAAAATAAATTTTTTTTGAGAATTTTAGAATTGGTCATTCATTACTAAAAATTTTCACCCAAAATGTGAATGATTACTTATCATTGTTTTATTGTTTCAGATGTGGTTTATTTATACTAATTATAATCCCTAAACTTCAAAAAAAAATTCTCCTTTCTAGTCAATTTCTCCACAGATGATAGCACCAAGGGTTGTTCATGCTGGATTCAGAAAGCAAAAATGGAGAATCTATTCGTCTCTGACGACAGCTGTTGGACATAGAATTTTACCTTTGCTTTCACTGTTGCTGCTAGGTGAGATCTTGGACAGTCACTTCTTGTGCTACCAGATATCTGGACCTCTTCTGGAGAGGTTCCTCACTTCTGTGCTGCAGATTGCTAACCTTATTGGAGGGGTGTCCTTGTGCTGTGATGTCTCCATTTCTGAATTCCCTAACAGCAGCTTTCTCCAGCCTTCCAGTCGTATACCTTATTTTAAGCCTTTAATTCTCTGTATTAAGACTCTTCCTGCTTAAAATACCCAGAATGACCTCTATTTTTCTTGAATGACTGATGCATAATTGAATAGAAGCTGGATCACATGCGTTCCACAAAGCACACTGTCATTACTATACATAACACTGTATAGTATAATTACAATATATATGCAATATATATTACCATATATATTACTGTGTATATATTACATATTATAGGTTGAAAAAAAATAATTGAATAAGAAAAAGTATGCCTGTATATTTATTTGACTAAAAAGCAAATATGCCATTGTATACTGTTTTATAAATTCTACACTTTTAAATGTGTAACAGTCCAGTGCAATTAAAATACATCAGTACAGAGATGCAAATTTTACATGTAGTTGCTAATTATTCTGGAAATTAAAACACTGACATTTTCTGAACTCTTAGTAACTAATAAAATCAAGTCACTAGTTTTCTACTCACATCCTTAATTGTCTGAAAAATTAAAACTGTCAGATTATACTCAAAGTATGGCTATCCCTTTGAAGTTTTATTTTATTTATGAGTTTTATTTTCACTCTGAATTAAGAAAGGAGGGTAAAGCCAAGAATATAATTGAAATGGTCTTTAAGTTGAATAGTCATGGGTGTGGCCTACCCAAACATGCAAGCTATGGGAGGAAGCCACTTTCTTGGATTAATTCTGGAAGGAGACTTTCAGAAGCTGAATTTCAGAATTATTCATATACTTATGGGACAGCATGTCACCACAGATCAGAGCTCTGGAAAAGACCTGAAAGCCTAAGCTAGGGTAAAGAATGGAGAGAATCTGCGGGAGCTAGACCTTAGGTTTGCAAAGAAATTGGGCTCGATTATGTTGACAAACAAGAGGAATTGTTCAGACACTCAGGGTGTGAGAGCCTAGGATGAGGTTCATTGAGCAACACTGGGTAAAATAGTTAAGATCAATAAGAAAAGCAGAGCTGATCTTGAGGTTCGTATAAACATCAAAATTTTCCCACTCCTTAAATATAGTTTTGTCTTTGTCCTGTCTTTCATCACACACACACACACACACACACACACACACACACTCACACACATACACACGGTATTATTCTGTCTAAATGTCAAATATAGTGCTAATTGCCAATAATGTAAAATAAATGTACTTATTTATTTTTAAGTACCCAGTCTCTGAATTGTAATTGTGATTTAAGAATTTCCCTTTCATAATCCCAACCAATTTCAACTACTTATATATGTCTTATCCCCTTTATTTTTGGAGGATAGGAAACACTCTTGTGCAAAATTAGGAAATTATTAAATGAGTCTACTGTTCTTTATTTGTCCTCCCCCAACTCCCCAGTGACTAAAACAATGTGCCCTTCACTAATTCATCTTACTAGATTTTTGGATTTAATTAATAATATCTTTTAGGAAGTATTTCCAATTAAAGTTGTGTTTTTATCCTTGCCTTCATTACACTAAACATTCACAGATTTATATATTGATATCTTAATATTGTTTGTCAGTTTTTTTAAATATGAAAATTTGTAATGAATTATAATAACATGCAGAATCCCAGTGGGCATTAATGCTAAAAGATTAATTGTATATCCAGCTTCATTATTTTACAACTTATGATACTAAAACTAAAACTGTGATGATAATGTCCACCCCTCAGATGTTGTTAAGATTAATTGAGACATCATGTATAAAGCACTTAGCACAATGACTGTGTATGTGCAATAAATATTAATCCTTTTCTCTTTCCCTTTAGAAAAGTTTTAAAATTTCTCAGAGCTACCACATCCTAAATTCCTCTCACCTATGTTCACATATATCAAGTTCATCGTTGCTCCATGTATCTAGAGATCACTTGCCTCTGGTTAAAATAACAGATTCATGAGCTCCAATTATGTAATGATCTTTAGGACTAGGAACAGAAATCTGCATTTTAATAAACTCCCACCTGTTATGTATGTACCTGATGTTTGAAGGCAATTCACGTAGCCTTTTCATAACAGTTGACTACTGAAATAGTTCGCTGCAAATCCTATCTAGAAGAAAAGGTGAAAAGTGATTTTTTTTTAAGTTTTAAAAACTGAACATGAGGATTAATTGTAGAAAAGAATATTGGGTAGAAAAATAGTGCATGCTGAGTGATGTGGAGGTGAAATATGATACCCAACAAATCAGAATTTGAGGAAGGAATGAAAATATATTATTAATAAAATTGCATAGTAAATGGAGAATTTGAATGGTTTCTACACAACTCAGGCAATGCAATAACTGCCTTGAATGCAGTGAGGTGTCAGTTTTCTTTCATCATTTTAACAACATATGATTGAAGCTATCAGGCTGTATTCAATTTTCAACCTTAATGTTATTAGTATATTTTCCCTTAACTGTACACTTTAAAATGCATTAAAGTGCAAAAGTAACAGAAAAAAGAATTTTAATTCTTTCATCCAAAGTTTCCAACTTACGCCTCTCTCCAATGAGATTCAGGTATCTCCATAAATTATTCTAAAGTGAGACCAACCTCAGGTTTAGCAAATTGGGATATTTTAAATCCTATGGTCACAGAGAGGACTGCAGTCTTCATGCTAGTTAATAGGCAAGTTTTTACATTTTTAAAAATTTGGATTGACTGACTCGTTGCAAATATTCTCAATTTATTTTTGTTAGTTCCTTTGTATTGTATTTACCTTCCCGCAAGTTTGATAATTACTTTTCCTATTGTCTCTGCTCTAAATTAATTATTTACTATTTTGTTATAATATTTATCAAGAGGCAACTTTGTTACAGATATTTGGCATCTGGTGAGCTTTCTATTCTCTTTATTTTTCTAGGACACATTAAAGTGTCAGATTTTCCTTATAACAAATTACAAATCTGGTTGTCTGAAAGCTGTGCTTATATGAATTGTTATTTGGTAAATTTCTGCTTCAAATGACTACATTATATCATAATGGAGTGTAGGAATTAATAACAATTCCTTCCATTTATTATCATGTTATAAAATACATGATTCCATTTGTTTTTGCAATGTTATGGGACAGACAAAATGATTGTCCCCATTTACATACATGCAAGAATTGAAAAGTTTAAGGTTATGCAACACTGAGTGGTGGACCCAGAAACTTGACTCAAACCTTCTCACTCAGCATCTGTTTGTCTCTGCCCTGTGCCAACTTCTGGTTGGTATCACTGCTGATGATCTCTAGATAATTGGAACTAGTCTGGTGCAAACTGTTTAACTCTTGGTTGTAATTCCAATGATGTTTAAAGATATAAAATAGGCCGGGCATGGTGGCTCACGTCTGTAATCCCTGCACTTCGGGAGGCCGAGGTGGGCAGATCACTTGAGGCCAGGAGTTTGAGGCCAGCCTGACCAACATAATGAAACCCCATCTCTACTAAATATACAAGAGCTGAACTACAGTAAGGAAGAGTCAGATATTCGACTCATAAAGTAGAGTTAATCTGAACTGTTTGCAGCTTCTAGTAGTAATCACACAGTGGCAATGGTCAGCCATTTAATTTTAACTCTATATAGCCCCTAATTCAATATTTTATTGACAAGGAAACATAAACCCAAAAGTTCATCTAAATCAATTACATCCCTAGGATCCTGGTCACAGAAGCAGGGAGCAGTGGTTCACAGCTTAAAAGCTGGCTTCCCTGAACAGTTGTAGTAGCAGACCTTTAATAAATTCAGCTTATCATGATTGTTTTAACAGTATGTTTAGAATGTAAACTCAGTAGTATTTCCTTTATCTCAGAGACTAGAAACTATATTGCACTGTAGAGATGATCCAGAGATTGGATGTGTTACAAGCACCATCCAAAACCCTGCTTAGTCACTTTCCATCTGGGTGAACTTGAGCAACTTAAATGTCACCAAGATTCAGAGTTCTCAGCATTAAAATGAAGACAATAACCACTTGTAGAGAGGTCAGAGATCTGGCATACATAAAATTTGCCACAGTTATCTCTTGTGAGTAGTTTATATTAATTAAATCTTTAATTCTTAATATATGGAAAGAATATTACTCTAGTATATGAAGACAAAATTTCCACCCTGGGTTGGCTGTGACCTGGCCATTTAACCTTAGTTGAGTCACTTATTCTTTCTCTGGGTCTCGTTGTTAAAATAAAGTGGTTTCTTTTTCTAACAATGTAATTACCACTGTTTAATGATTTACCTCTAAGTTGTTGGAAGTTAGTTCTATATTCTTTTTTTCCCACACAAAGATTTTCAAGCACTGGCTCTCAGTGTACTGACAAATAAATACTCTGAAACATTATATGTATTTCTAGTTACTGGCTCTATATAGATTTTTATATCTGAATAACATAATCTTTTACATCAACTAAGCTGCCAACTGACTAAACTATTGGCAGCTTAAACTATATTTTGAAAAAAAAACATGTACTCTGAGAATTATTGGATAGAAGAGGAAAATAGCCTCTATGTTCATCAGAGTAAATGCTGCCTGTCCTTTCTTAAAAGATTCTGCCACAACTCTCATTACAAATAAGGCTAATAGAGATGAATCATGATTTACTTGACTATAACTCAAAATATTCAAATGGAAAGATTTTAACAAAAGTCTAAGCTGCTGTATTATCTGGTAAATTTTAAGTCAATAGTATTTTAAGGGAAATATCTGTTGATTAGAATAAATTATAACTTGGCTTATTTTTCCCTTTGGTTTTGTCAAGTGTAAGATCTGTGTGAACCGCCATGAAATAAGGAGTAGACAAGATTAGCAGCAGCTGCTATTAAAGGGATGAATGAGAATGTCAGAAGAATAGCTCAATGAATTACCAGGGGGAGAATGGGCAAGTTCTGTTCATAGATGGTAACATGAATAGGGACATTCAGAAAGAAAACAGAGCATTAATACGGCTATAAGGACAATTACAATAGGATGTAAAGCAATAATAGTTAAAGGATTAATAGAAATGGCATCCACTAGGGTTAAATTTGAACAAAAGCAGAAGTTAGGTGGAAAACAGGCAGTTTCATCAGAACAGGGACACAATGGGTGTTCTGATGCCACACCTAACCAAAAAATTCTTCACCTTGGCTTTGGTTTTTTCCTGTGCACCTGTGAATTTTCATCCAGTAACATCAATATTTGGTGAGACTTTTAGGTATAATATGTAACATTTATTTGTTATGTTTATTATTTGTATTTTATATGCATCAGTATTATGCATAATTTTATGTAAGAATCCTAGCAAGAGATTAGGTCTTCCATAAAGCAAGTACTGCAAGGAATCCTGAGAAAAAATATTCTGGGGCATGTGACACTCAGACTAATGGCCTAAAACTCATGTCACCGAAGCCCAAGGTTTATCAGAGCTTCTCTGGCATCAAAAGGACCTCCTATCCTGCTTCACCAATAGCAAATGCCTTTTTATTATTTTACATTTTGGAGTTACATGAGTTCTGCTTTTTAAAATATTTGATCATTACAAAATGTATCCATGCATTGAAACATCACATCATATCCTATAAATATTTACAATTATTAAATTGCCAATTAAATTAAAACAAAACTTTAAAAAATAAAAATAAAATCAAACATAAAAATATTTGTAAACAATGACTCCAGAGACCATATGGTACCAAATAAACTATAATTCTTTCAAAAAGTTACAAACTCTTTTGAAATATTACCTTTTCAAATATACTGCCTGCTTATTACTAAGGTGTTAATATCAGAGAATATACAGAACACAATATTTTAGTTTTGATACTGCAAGAATCAGAGGAAAGAAATACAAATTTTTGTGATAAAAAAGAGAAAAAAAAGAAGAAAAAAAGAAATTACAATAAAGTTAGAAAAACAAGTCAGAAATCCTCTCCAAGAAAGAAATGTTTAAACATGTGAACACATTTGTTCAAAATGCAAAACATGTACATCAAAAGTTGTTCTCTTACATTTCAATAAAATAGGAGAATTACAAGGGCTTCCTATTGTCTTAAAGGTAATTTTTCATTATGGGAGAATAACTGTCAGCAGTATTCTTATGATGAATTTCAATGTATATATAAACAATAAGTTCATCTAATATGCATTACCTTGCAGATCATTCATACAGAGTTAACTGACTTTAAGCTTTTAATAATGTCATCTGGCAAACTCAGTCCAAGTTATCATTTAGTGGCATAATATAGCTATATTTTCAAGAACTTTATTTTGAAGGTGAAATAAAGCACCAAGCACAGGAAATGCTTATTTGCCAAGAACAGACATAAGTCATTTTATGTCCACCACAAGCACACCTTACTATATTACTCACAAGTTTCACATTCAGCCAAAGTCAAGCCGTTCATTCCCACATCACCTTTGGAAACTTTGTAGCAAGGCTTGGTATAAATTTACCTTTAAATTATGAACAGGTAATTTATCATTCCTCTTAGGAAAAAGAAAATGGTTTTTGGAGGTTTGATTATATGCTTTGACACATTTTTACCCTTTACTGAGACCTCAGCAAGCACAGTACCATTCGTGAAGAAATATATGTTCTTGTAATTTGTGTAGCACAGCCCTCATCACCAGGCCTTAAATTATCTTACCTAACATCCATTTCCAGTTACTAAAAAGGAAGCATAAAAATTGAAGACAATTTATAGTACAAAGAATAAAAAAGAAAAGAAGAAGGAGACAGATGGAGAGAAAGAAGGAAAAGAAGGAGTCAGAAAATAGAACCTAAACTGATCAATGAGGTGATTAAAATTGCCTAGGTATTGTGGGCTTAATTATGCCCCCCTCCCAAATTCAAATGTTGACATCCCAACTCTCAGAACCTCAGAATATAACTTCATTTGGAGATAAGATCTTTAAAGAGGCAATGAAGTTAAAATGCAGTTATTAGGGTGGACCCTAACCCAATATGACCATGTTCTTGTAAGAAGGAGATTAGGGCACAGACACGTGGAGAAAAGACCATGTGAAACAGGGAGAAGACAGGCATCTTTGTGGCAAGAAAGGCCTCAGGAGAAACCAAACCTGCAGACACCTTGATCTCAGACTTCTAGACTCCAGAATTGTGAGAAAATAAATTTGTTGTGTTTAAACCACGCCCAGTCTGTGGCACTGTTACGGCAGGTCTTACCAAACTAATAGACTGGGCAATGGAAAGAAAATTGAGTAAAAATTTAATGTGTGTTTAATTATGAGAAAGCTTATTAAATGAAGAGTTTTTATTAAATTTATTGGCAATACATAATTAGATGAAATGGGAAGAGCAAATAATTGAGCTTTCCAGTTATTTGCTAAGTCAGTTGTTTGCGAAGTATAATAAATTAGACTAATATACTCATCAGAATTTTTCACTAATAAAAGGGTTGATATCAACCTCATAGACAAAAAATAAAGTTACTTCCATTCAAAATTAATCATATATCAAGTGGTATCACTTAACAAATGTCTGGATAAATTTTTTACACATGATATTGAAAATCACCTCTTAAAATATGAAAGCCTAACTTGAGAGGGGCTTTATTATTCAAAAACAGAATGAAGTCGTCTCAGTTCCTACTTGTGCCTCTCCTGAAAACACCCAAAGATTTCTTACTTTGCCCATTTCTTAAATATATAATGAAAAAATAACCAAACTGATGAAATAAAAGAAAATTTTACACAATAATTCAATCTTTTGTGAGGTTGAATTCTTGGCATTATCAATATCAAGATCTAACTGAAAACTGCTTTAAAAACAATTTATTGGTTTACGTAACTGAACATTCCTAGGAAAGGAGAACTTAGCTGTAGTTTAATTCTGAGGTTCATTAACTTGTAAGATTTCCATCTTGAGTTCACAGTAATTCTCCTAGTCCTGCTCTCCTTCATATGCCAAATATGTGCTCCAGTGGCTTTCTATATGGTAACAAAAGTAGTTGCCACAGCTGTTGGCTTCCCACGCAGACGTTATACTGTCATTATATCCAACTACTCAAACTGTATCCATGGGATGGGGCCTAAGAATCTGCCTACGTCCTCCAAATGATTTCTACAAGCACTAAATTTTGAGAAGCACTGTTCTAGAGCTTGCATATTAGTATGACTTGAGGGAGATTGTGAAATAATATCATGGCCTGAATCCTGTCTCAGAGATTCTAAGTGTATTGGTCTGAGATGGGGACCACGTAGTGCTATTAAAGGCAGTCCTTCCTTTACATGGTTTCTGTATCCAGCTTTCAGTTATTATGGCTTAGTTAAATAACACCTATTCCCCAACAACACTGCTGAAATTTCAGTTGTGATGGCATATTAATTGTGAGGAATTGTATAAAGTGCAAATTTTACTGTCAGTTCTTCAGTCCACAAATTTCTACATAAAAAAACAGGTACTCATGGGGTCAGTGATCAATCACACCACTTTTTCTAAAGCATGCTTGTGACTCATCACTGCACATCTGTTCATCAGTTCACTCACATGAAAGTGTGTCTCTCAGTGATAAACCCATGTAACATATTATAACATGGGTAATCAGAAAAGGAAATTGGCCAACCAAGTTAAAAGGGCAGCAAAGAAATAAAAATGATAATTCTGGGAGTGAAATGAAAATTCAGTGTAAATGGAATAGCTGACTGTGGGAAGGTGTTGACACTGCTGCTGTTTGATAGATCCTAGATGTGGAAGAGACAAATATAGTGAAGGTGAACTTATCAGCATGAATGAGGAAGGTGGTTGGGAAGAAAAGAATAAAGATGCTTCAGAGGAAGTGACATGGGCAAGAAGTTTTGCATTAAAGGAAATCTGAGATATCTCATGGCATTGAAAGCACAAAGGATAAAATGTTGGAAGCTGACCTAAACTCGGAAAGGAGTGTGGTAATTTGCAAAAGCATAGAAGAAGTGCTCATTTAGTATCATAAGTGATACAAGAAGGCAAGCACTGTTTAAATTTCTTTATATAAGTTTTCTACAAAAAAGTAAACATATTTCTCAATGTTTGTGATGTTTTCATTGCTAAATAAATATTAGGTTACTTTAAAATTTCACAACATTAATGAGACAGCAAGATAGTTTTTAATAATTTGCCAAAAAATCAAGGAATAATTTGAATTTTCTTAATGATTGATAATTAAGATCACTTTGCATAATTTCAGATTGTATTGTCATTTCTACAATCACGCGCTACTGTGCAAAGCAGGAACTGCCTGTGCTCATAAACTCCCCCGGTATCTCAAAAGCGCTGACAGAGTTGAGAACCACTGATCCGATAAGCAGCTCTCAAAATGTGGTACTGGGATCATTAGCATCAAAATCAATAACATAATTTATTACAAATGTAATAACTCAGGCTCCACCCAGCTGGGGGTGGTACCTCATAATTTGTGTTTTATTTAGTAGGCCTTCTGGGTAATCGTGATTCTAACACATGCTAAAGATTGAGAATCACTAATCTAGTAAATAAAGAACTTCTTTTCCTAAGACTTCAGCAAAGTAGGAAGCAAGTCTTTCTCAGTATTCTAGCAGTATCTTGTGTGCTCTTCACCTCTATCAAGACGTGGAACTGTCACTGATTCATTTGCTCTGTCTTATTAAGAAAGTGAAGAGGAAATATGTAAAATTATTATGGATCAATTATAACTTTTAAAAATACATTAAAAAGATCATATCCTTAAGAAAGTGAAGAGGAAAGTGGCTGCTAGGAGAATCCCAAAGTTTCTACTACAAACCTCTTTTTTATTATTATTTTACTTTAAGTTCTGGGATACATGTGCAGAATGTGCAGGTTTGGTACATAGGTTTACATGTGCCATGGTGATTTGCTGCACCCATCAACCCATCATCTAGGTTTTAAGCCCCACATGCATTACCTATTTGTCCTAATGCTTTCCCTCCCCTTGCCCTCCACCCCGACAGGCCCCAGTGTGTAATGTTCCCCTTCCTGTGTCCATGTGATCTCATGTTCAACTCTAACTTATGAGTGAGAACATGCGGTATTTGGTTTTCTGCTCCTGTGTTAGTTTGCTGAGAATGATGGTTTTCAGTTTCATCCATGTCCCTGCAAAGGACATGAACTCATTCTTTTTTGTGGCTGCATAATATTCCATGGTGTATATGTGCCACATTTTCTTTATCCAGTCTATCGTTGATGGTCCTTTGGGTTGATTCCAAGTCTTTGCTATTGTAAATAGTGCTGCAATAAACATACGTGTGCATGTGTCTTTATAGTAGAATGATTTATAATCCTTTGGGTATGTACCCAGTAATGGGATTGCTGGTATAAACCTCTTTTTTAAAGGCATCACAAAACATTAAAAAGGAAAGTTTGGATACAAGTTTTAAAACAAAAAGGAAAGAAAAATCTAGGCAAAGTATGCCTTCTAAGTAGTAATAAAAGTTATTAAATTTTGATAACTGTTCCACAAAAAATGTTTTCTGATTTAATTGTTCAAAAAGGTTTATATAGATACAGACAAAAATGCCCTTTCAAACTAATGAAATGTAATATTGACATTTTCTCTAAATATAAAAAAAAGAAAATGTTTTATTGAGATCAAGAAAGTAATATACAGAAAAAGAAAAGTTTGATAGTTTCTGCATATGACCCATATTATAACCAATAAAATAATGCATGTAGTATAGTAATTATTACTAAAGCTTTGACCAGAATTTACAAATACAATTTATTTTTTAAAACGTCAGCCCAGGCTTTTCAAGGTTGTTTTTTAAGCCATGATCACAACACTTGCATAAGCTTAAGGACCGTATTTATAGATTCAGGTAAGCAATAGCTTATGCAAAGTGGGGAATTTTTCTCACACATACCTTGACCTTTCAGTTTTTATCACCACTTACCCCATCAGGCTTGCTTAGAAGTAGTATAGCAGTTTCTGAATTATATATTGATCCCCTATATTAAATTGTTCATGTGAAGGTAAAGGTAAAGAAAAACTAAAGAATTAATAATTAGCAAATTAATTACAAACCTTCTTATTGGGAATACTACTTAAAATTATATCCAATCTACTTAGAACTTCATCATAGTCACATAAAATTATACCTGCTGAGTATGTTTTTTGCTTTGAAGTGAAAGTTTTATTAAGTCTTCTTTTGTTTCCCGATGGTTATGATGTGGATAGAAACGTTTCTTAAATAATTGGCATAGAACACTTCTCATTAGCTTTAGTTTTTAAAAACTAGCATAAAAATGTTTTTTTCAATTTTAAGAATTTGTTCAATTGTAAGCCATAATACAGTTTCTTTCTTAGTTATGATGAACATACAATAAATAAAGCAAGAACTTAGTCTCCCATCCAAGATGGAATAACAAAACAAGATTTTACTCTTGCTCTGAAATAACTGAAAAACAAGATGAAAAATACAAAACAATGGTCTCCTGTTTTGGACATCCAGTAGTGCATGGAAGTATTTTCTGAGAGAGCAGAAACTAAGAGCCCTATGGTTTCCCAGTGACAAAGATTCTCTTCTTGACCAAACTTTAATCAGCTCCTCTAAACTCCCCTCTCAACTAGACCCTGACTTTTGGGCTTCCACGAATGTGCATTGTCCAATTTTAGCAAAAATCTTGCTAAGACAGGGTAGCCAGAATCCTACATTTTCAATACATATCTGATCAAGTTCCTCACCCTCCACCAGCCCTAAGGTGATGTCTGATCACCTTGGCCTGCCTTCAGCAAGAATTCTGTTAGGTTTATTTAGCCAGAATCCTCCCTTACTCCTGGAATTTCCTCTTAGTATTTTCCATCCACTGAATCCTACCCTGCTCCTTAGCTATAAATTCACCTTTTGTTATATTTACAGCTGAGAACATGAAAGTTGTCAGAATCAAAATAGAGTCACTAATGTTAAGACAACCCTGACAAATAGAGCTAAGAAGGCTATGAAGAGAGGGTTCACACACTTACATGCCAATTACAACATCCAAAAATAACTACAGAAACCACAACCTTGTACATCACAACCTTACACAAAAAATACTTTTTCAAGAACATCTGCCCCACAGCTGCCTGTCCAGCGTTGAACTGGCACCACCCATGTTCTTGATCATCGTTGTCTATGGTAATTATTTCCAAACAATTGTATAATCCTTCTCATTTTTTTCTTTTAAAACCTTTGTCTTCCTTTACCTCCCTGAATTTGCACATAGCTTACTATGGCTTATGTATTCCCATTGGCATGCCTTATTCCCAAGTAAATTTCTTTTAGAGGGTCTCTCTCTGTTTGTTTTTTGATTGACAAGAACCATCTCTGTCTCCTTCTGCAAAACCTCATTTTGGTGGTCCCTATTCCTACAGCAATAACCCCTGGAATAAAGTCACTTTTACCATTCTTTAACAACTGTCATGAATAATCCTTTTTTAACACCAGCTCACTGCCTGGAAAGAATTTACAGATAGTGTGAAGGTACAAGAACTCAACTGGAGCCCAACAGCCTCCATAATTTGTGGAGATGAAGCTGGGAGTCCAAGGAGTTCCAGACAGCTAGAGTTCCTAGAACAGAGTGCCAGAGAAGAGAGAGGGAGAAAGCTGG
This sequence comes from Homo sapiens, assembly GCF_000001405.40. NCBI lineage: Eukaryota > Metazoa > Chordata > Mammalia > Primates > Hominidae > Homo > Homo sapiens. The sequence continues at coordinate 62,980,859 of NC_000006.12, forward strand.
AGAAATGCAGCTGGGGGGAAGGGGTTAGACTTCTTGACTGGGTATTGATTAATTAGTGAGGGCATGTGAGGAAACAACCTAAGCCTGGGAAAATAACCACATGAAAGCTGTTCTTTGAGCTCACACAGGGCAAGAAATAGTTTTTGTTCCTGTAAGCATAATGGAAAACCTCACAGATCTAGGGGCATCAGTTACAGTCCTCTGAAAAATACTGCCTCACTACTGGAGGGAAATTAGTCCTATATAAAGGCTGTTTTGGACCCTTCTGGGAAAGCTTTAAGGACTACATTTGATCAAACTATTCCCAAGCAACTTTAACTGTATCTCAGAATACAACTCAAGAATATTTACAGAAATTCAAAAATATCTAGCAAATAACAATATGAAATTCACAAGATCTGACATCCAACTAAAAGTTATCAAGCCATGTAAAGGAGCAAGAAAAGATTTTTCTTAATAATAATGAGAAAACACAAAGAGAAACAAATGTTAAAATGACATAGATGATAGAATTTCTAGTCAGTCACATTAGAAGAGTTACAATGATGTTTCATATGTTTTGAAATAATATGAAAGAGTAAACATATTAAAGAGATATATATATATGCAATATTAAAAAGGTCCAAATTAAATTTTTGAGACAAAAAAATACAATTCTGTTAAAAATATGCAGTTTTTTACTAACAGCACCTTGGACACAGCAGAAGAAAATATTATCTAAAGACATAGCAATAGAAACTGGTCAAAGAAATAAAGAGAGAGGAAAAAGACTGAACAAATTATGAATAGAACATTAATGAACTGTGGGATACGTATATTTGAGAGAGGGAAGGAGAAAAATATTTGAAGAAATAGTAGCCATTTTGTTTTCTAATTTGATGAAAACTAATTTCAAGAAGCTCAACAAAACCCAAGCACAAGAAACAGGAAGAAAAGGGACATCATAATAAAATTACTGAAAATCAATAATGAAGAGAAAATCTTTAAGGCATCCAGAGAAAGTACAAATCTTACATGTAGAGAACAAGAATGCAAAGAATAGTAGACTTCTCACATAAAACCCTACAGACCTTTATTGCAATAAATATTAAAGGAAGCCTTTTAAGCAGAAGGAAAATGATAGCAGCTAAAAATCTGCATTTGAGTAAAGGAATGAAGAAAACAATAAATTATAAAAATACAAGTAAATTTTAAAGTTTTTTATTTTTAATATTCTTTTAAAATATAAGTGACACATATAACATAAAAATAACAATACATTATGGTGTTTATAACAAATGTGAAAGTAAAATTACAACTATACAGTGCAAATACAAAGGAGAAATAAGTCTACAGTTGTAAAGATTTTATATCTTGAGAGTATACTAGGATAAGTTAAAGACGTACACTATAAGTTCTAATGCAAACCAGAAAACAATAAAAAGTAATCACTAAAAGCCAACGAAGAAGATAGACTCTTTAAAAATATTCCACTAATGCAAATGAAAAGAGGAAGTAAAATAATTCAGATGAAACAAATAAAAATATAAAGCAAAGAGTAGCTATAAACACTAAATCAATAATCAATTGTAAATGATCTAAGTATTCTAAAAAAGAATTATAGATTTTATAAGAACCATATGCTAGTCAAAAATAGCTCAAAAATAAAAGGATGAATTTTAAAAAGATATGTCATACTAATGTTAATCAAAAGAAAACTGAAAAACGTATTAGTATATGATGACTATACCAACATCAGACAAAGTTGCTTTTAGTCATTAAATAATGATAAGCCAATCAATTTTTCAAGAAGATATAACAGTCTTAATTCCACACCCAATAACAGAGCTTCAAAACATAGAAAAGTAAAACTAATAAAACAGCAAGAAGAAATATACAAATCCATAAATTTAGTAGAATATTTCAACACTTCTCTCACTGAATAATTAATAGAACAGAAAGAGAAAAATCTCAGTAAGAATATAAAAGATTTACACACTGAAACAAAGTGACCTAATAAACATTTATATAATGTTTCACACAACAGTGGAAGAATATGTGTTGTTATCAAATGTACATGGAACTTTTACCGAGATCAATCATGTTCTGGGCTATAAAACAGAGCCTAATACATTTAACAGGATTTAATTCACACAAATTATTTTCTCATGCCATAGTGGAATTTAGTTAGAAAAAAAATCAATAAGAGAATGACATTTGGAAAATTTCAAATATTTAGAAATAAGTTATTAGGTTAGTGCTAAGTAAGTGCGGTTTTTCCCATTACTTTCAATGGCAAAAACCGCAATTACTTTTGCACCAGCCTAAAACTTATGTGCCAATGAAGAAATTTTAAAAGCTAGGAACTGTATTGAAGAGAATGAAACATGGCATAGAAAATTTTATCACAAAGTGGTATTTATAGGGAAACTGTTAGTACTACCAGTGTGTTTTAAAATAAACTGAAGAAGATTCAACTAAAACAAGTTTGCATCCTTATTAGGGAAATAGAAAAGCAAGAGTAAATCAAACCCAAAAGAAGAAAAAGAGGGGCAAATACCAATTATTTAGAAAGAGTATGAACAATATAATAAATCAATAAAGTAAAAAGCTATAGTTCCAAGAAAATCAATCAAAATGATAGCCTGTAGCTTAACTGCTCAAGAAAAAGCAAGTTACCAAGATCAGAAATGAGAGTAGAAAGATAAGTAAAGATTCTACAGATAATAAAAGAATAGAAAGAATAATAATAACTCTATGACAATGAATTCAATAACTTCGATGAAATGGATAAACTTCTTGGAGGAGACAAACTTTAAAAACTCTCTAACAATAGACAAATGGAATAATTCTATATTTATCCTAATAAGTGAATTTGAAGTTAACTTAAAACTTCAGAACCAGATAGCTTCAATGGCAAAATTTACCAAATATTTTTAGAAGAAAATACCAAATCTTTACAAATTCTTCCAGAAAAATTAGAGAATAATATAGCTCATTTTATAAGCCAATATTAGACTAACATCTAAATCACACAAAAACATTTTAAAAAGTGAAAAAGCAAATTACAGACCAATATTCCTCATAAACATATATACAACAAATAAAATTTTAGTAAATCTATCCAAGAATATATAGAAAGGTCAGTAAATATATCATGACCAAGTGGGGAATTATCCACAAAATACAAAACCGATCTAAAATTTGAAAATTCAAATCAATGTAACACTATATTAATATATTAAACAACAATAACAAATCATTATTTCAACAAAGGCAAAAAAAAGCACTTGACAAATCTTTTATTTATTTTTTCCATAGGTTATTGGGGTACAGGTGATATTTAGTTACATGAGTAAGTTTGGTTTCATTTTGCTTTTAATTATATATTAAGTTCTGGGATACATGTGCAGAACGTGCAGGTTTGTTACATAGGTATACATGTTCCATAGTGGTTTACTGCACCCATCAACTCATCATCTATATTTTAGGTATTTCTCCTGATGGTATCCCTCCCTTAGCCCCCCCACCCTCCAACAGGCCCTGGTGTGTGATGTTCCCCTCCCTGTGTCCATGTGTTCTCATGGTTCCACTCCAACTTATGAGTGAGAACATGCAGTGTTTGGTTTTCTGCTCCTGTGTTGGTTTGCTGAGAATGATAGTTTACAGTTTCATCCATGTCCCTGCAAAAGATATTAATTCTTCCTTTTTTATGGCTGCATAGTATTACATGGTGTGTACACCACATTTTCTTTATCCAGTCTATCATTGATGGGCATTTGGGTTGGTTCCAAGTCTTTGCTGTTGTAAATAGTACTGCAATAAACATACGTGTGCATGTGTCTTTATAGTAGAATGATTTATAATCCTTTGGGTATATACCCAGTAATGAGATTGCTGGGTCAAATGGTATTTCTAGTTCTAGATCCATGAGGAATTACCATGCTGTCTTCCACAATGGTTGAACTAATTTACACTCAAATTAACAGTGTAAAAGCACTCCTATTTCTCCACATCCTCTCCAGCATCTGTTGTTTCCTGACTTTTTAATGAATGCCATTCTAACTGATGTGAGATGGTATCTCATTGTGGTTTTGCTTTGCATTTCTCTAATGACCAGTGATGATGAGCTTTCTTTCATATATTTGTTGGTTACATAAATGTCATCTTTTGAGAAAAGTCTGTTCATATCCTTTGCCCATTTTTTGATGGGGTTGTTTGTTTTTTTCTTGTAAATTTGTTTAAGTCCTTTGTAGATTCTGGATATTAGCCCTTTGTCAGATGGATTGATTGCAAAAATTTTCTCCCATTCTGTAGGTTGCCTGTTCACTCTGATGATAGTTTATTTTGCTGTGCAGAAGCTCTTTAGTTTAATTAGATCCCACTTGTCAATTTTGGCTCTTGTTGCCATTGTTTTTGGTGTTTTCGTCATGAAGTCTTTGCCCATGCCTGTGTCCTGAGTGGTATTGCCTAGGTTTTCTTCAAGAGTTTTATGGTTTTAGGTTTTACATTTAAGTCTTTAATCCATATTGAATTAATGTTTGTATAAGGTGTAAGGAAGAAGTCCAGTTACAGTTTTCTCCATATAGCTAGCCAGTTTTCCCAACACCATTTATTAAATAGGGAATCCTTTCCCCATTGTTTGTTTTCATCAGGTTTGTCAAAGATCAGATGGTTGTAGATGTGTGGTGTTATTTCTGAGGCCTCTATTCTGTTCCATTGGTCTATATATCTTAAATTGACCACATCATTGGAAGTAAAACACTCCTCAGCAAATGCAAAAGAATGGAAATCATAACAAACAGTCTCAAACCACAGTGCAATCAAATTAGAATTCAGGATTAAGAAACTTACTCAAAACCACACCACTACATGGAAACTGAACAACCTGCTCCTGAATGACTACTGGGTAAATAACAAAACTAAAGCAGAAATAGTTCTTTGAAACCAATGAGAACAAACACACAACATACTAGAATTTCTGGGACACAGATAAAGCAATGTTTAGAGGGAAATTTACATAGTATTGGAAGTTCTGGCCAGGGCAATCTGGCAAGATAAAGATATAAAGGGTATTCGAATAGGGAGAGAGGGAGTCAAATTGTCTCTGCTTGCAGAAGACATAATTGTATATTTAAAAAACCCCATTGTCTCAGCCCAAAATCTCCTTAAGCTGATAAGCAACTTCAGCAAAGTCTCAGGATAGGAAATCAATGTGTAAAAATTATAAGCATTCCTATACACCAATAATAGACAAACAGAGAGCCAAAATCATAAGTGAACTCCTATTCACAATAGGTACAAAGAGAATAAAATACCTAGGAATACAAGTTAACTCTTCAAGGAAAACTAAAAACCATTGTTTAAAGAAATAAGAGAAGACACAAACAAATAAAAACAGTTCCATGCTCATGAATAGGAAGAATCAATATCGTGAAAATAGCCATACTGTCCAAAGTAATTTATAGATTCAATACTATCCCCATCAAGCTACCATTGACTTTCTTTACAGAATTAGAAAAAAAATTCTTTCAATTTTATATAAAACCAAAAAAGAGCCTGAATATCCAAGAGAATCCTAAGCAAAATGAACAAAGCTTGAGGCATCATGCTACCTGACTTCAAACCATACTGTAAGGCTACAGTAACCAGAACAGCATGATACTGGTAGCAAAACAGATATTTAGACAAATGAAACAGAATGGAGGCCTCATAAATAATGCCACACATCTACAACCATCTGATCTTCAATAAACCTGACAAAAACAAGCAATGGGAAAAGGATTCCGTATTTAACAAACGGTGTTGGGAAAACTGGCTAGCCATATGCAGAAAACTGAAACTGGTCCCCTTCCTTACACCATATACAAAAATTAACTCAAGATGGATTAAGACTTAAATGTAAGACCTAAAACCATAAAAACCCTAAAAGGAAACCTAGGCAGTACCATCAAGGACATAAGCATGGACAAAGACTTCATGATGAAAACACCAAAAGCAATGACGACAAAAGCCAAAATTGACAAATGGGATCTCATTAAACTAAAGAGCTTTTGCACAGCAAAAGAAACTATCATCAGAATGAACAGGCAACCTACAGAATGGAAGAAAATTTTTGTAATCTATCTATCTGACAAAGGACTAATATTCAGAATCTACAAAGAACTTAAATTTACAAGAAAAAGACAAACAACCTCATCAAAAAGTGGGAGAAAGATATAAACAGACACTTCTCAAAAAAAGATATTTATGCGCCAACAAACATGAAAAAAAGCTCATCATCATTGGTCACTAGAGGAATGCAAATCAAAACAACAAAATCAAAACTGTTGTCAGTTAGAATGGTGTTCATTAAAAAGTCAGGAAACAGCAGATGCTGGAGAGGTTCTGGAAAAATAAGAATGCTTTTACACTGTTGATGGGAGTGTATATTAGTTCAACCATTGTGGAAGACAGTGTGGTGATTCCTTTAGGATATAGAACCAGAAATAATTTGACCCAATGATCCCATTACTGGATATACAACCAAAGGATTATAAATCATTCTACTATAAAGACACACGCACACATATGTTTATGGCAGCACTATTCATGATAGCAAAGACTTGGAACCAACCCAAATGCCCATCAATGATAGACCGTATAAAGAAAATGTTTCACATATATACCATGGAATACTATGCAGCCATAAAAAAGGATGAGTTCATGTCCTTTGCAGGGACATGGATAAAACTGGAAACTATCATTCTCAGCAAACTAACACGGGAGCAGAAAATCAAACACCGCGTGTTCTCACTCATAAGTGGGAGTTGAAGAATGAGAACACATGGACACAGGGAGGGGAACATCACACACGGGGGCCTTTTGGGATGTGGGGGGCTAGGAGAGAGATAGCATTAGGAGAAATACCTAATGTAGATGATGGATTGATGGGTGCAGCAAACCACCATGGCACTTGTTATACCTATGTTACAAAACTGCATGTTCTGCACATGTATTCCAGAAGTAAAGGAAATTAATAAAAAAAGAAAAATATATAAAATAAATAAAATCAGGGGTGGGAAAAAATCTTAAACCACATTCTTTGTCACTTGCCTTTCACAGATATAAGAAATGAGACTCAGGAGATCTTTAGTGCCTTCATCAAAATCACCTTTTTCATATGTAGATGAGCAAGAAAAGCTCACAGTGTTGTCAGTCAAGTGTTCTTTCTCTTACCCCAAAGCTGTCATATTATTGAATTCAAAACACTATTTTCATATGGCTTTCTACAGGGATATTTTTTCTGTGGTAAGCTTGTTTCTATACCTAGGAGGGGCAATCCCTTAGGTTTGTTATAGCATACCATGCTAACTACTAAAAACTACTGTGACTCACGTAGAAAGGAGGACACAAAGCTAAGTGTCTGCTTTAAGACTCTATTTTCTATCACAAATGGGTAAAGAATTGGACTTGCTAAAAGCATCTTAGAAAACTCAATGTATAAAGGTATTTGTGTGTAACTGAATCCTTTCTTTAAAATTTCTTTGCAGCTGGAGATTTAGGTAGGTTATTAGCAAAAATATTTTATCTTTCTGGTTGATATTTAATGTGAAGGAATCCTAAAATCTTACCTGCATGAGGCCAATATGTTTGCAAAATATCTCAAAGTTTTATCTTAATAGGCATGAAATATCTAGAGAGAGGAATAAAGCAGTTTTAATCCCCAAAACATCAAATATACTGGACATGCTGCTTCACCTGTCTGAAGCTCTATTATTATTAAGTTCTTCCAATTTATTAAACCTTCACCATTATGAAATGTACCTATTTGTTTCTGATTATACTCTGTCTTGAAGTCTACCTTATTTGACATTAATATACCCATTCCAGGCTTCTTTTCTTTCTTGTTTGCATAAAATACCTTTTTTTCACTCATTTACTTCTAACCTATTTGTTTCTTAATATTTAATGTAAATCTTGTAGAGCACAGGGTTCTCTTTCATTTGTTTTTTGTCTTAAATCCACTTTGATAATCTATGGCTTTTAATTGTAGTCCTTAGTCAAGTAACATTTAGTTATTGATATAGTTCTACTTAGGCCTACAATTTTACTATTTGCTTTTATTTGTTCCTCCTGGATTTTGTTGTTGTTGTTGTTATTACTCATTTTTATTTTTTTCTGCCTTGTTTGGAACTATCAAATATATAGTCAAATTAAGTTTTAATTTATCTATTGTTTTTCACTTTGTATTTTTTTTCTTTAATGGTAATTGTAGAAATTATAATACACATCCCTTCTTAAGTATTATTATTTTTATTTCAATAGGTTTTTGGGAAATAGGTGATGTTTGGTTACATGGATAAGTTCTTTAGTGGTGATTTCTGAGATTTGGTGCACCCATCACCTGAGCATTGTATACTGTAGCCAATGTGTAGTCTTTTATCCTTTCCCACCCAGCCTTCCCTCTAGTCCCCAAAGTCCGTTGTATCATTCTTATGCCTTTGCAATCACATAGCTTAGCTCCCACTTATAAATGAGAACATACAATGTTTGGTTTTCCATTCCTGAGTAACTTCATTTAGTTAAATAATAATAATAATTATTATTATTATAGTCTCCAAATTCATCCAGGTTGCTGTGAATGCCATAATTTTATTCTGTTTTATGGCTGAGTTGTAAGAATTATAGTATATACCCTTAAAAACTCACAGCAAACATATAGTTAATATATTGTATTAGTCCATTCTCATGTGGCTAATCAAGACGTATTTGAGACTGGTTAATTTATAAAGGAAAGACTCACAGTTGACTCACAGTTCTTCATGGCTGGGGAGGCCTCAGGAAACTTACAATCATGGTGGGGAAGAGAAGTGAAGCAAACGTGTCCTTCTTCACATGGCGGCAGTAAAGAGAAGTGCAGAGCAAAAGGGAAAAAAAGCCCTTTATAAAATGATCAGATCTTGTGAGAATTATTCAATAACATGAGAACAGCATGGGAAAGACTGCCCCCATAATTCAATCACCTCCCACTGGGTCCCTCCTATGATACATGGGGATTATGGGAGCTACAATTCAAGATAATATTTGGCTGGAAATCCAACCAAATTATATCATCTCAACCCTCGCCCCTCCCACATTTCATGTCCTCACATTTCAAAACCAATTATGGCTTCCCAAGAGTCTCCCAAAGTATTAACTCATTTCAGAGTTAACTCAAAAGACCACAGTTCAAAGTCTCATCTGAGACAAGGCAAGTCCCTTCCACCTATGAGCCTGTAAAATCAGAAGCAAGTTAGTTACCACCTAGATAAAATGTGGGCCAGGCATTGGGTAAATACATCTATTCCAAATGGGAAAACTTGGCCAAAATGAGGGGGTTACAGGCCCCATATAAGTCAGAAATCCAGCAGGGCAGTCAATCCTTTTTTTTTTTTTTCAGATGAAGTCTTGCCCTGTTGCCCAGGCTGGAGTGCGGTGGTGAGATCTCGGCTCACCACAACCTCTGCCTCCTGGGTTCAAGTGATTCTTCTGCCTCAGCCTCCCAAATAGCTGGGACTACAGGCACATGCCACCATTCTCAACTAATTTTTTTTTTTTTTTTTTTTTTTTTTTAGAGACAGAGTTTCATTATGTTGGCCAGGCTGGTCTCGAAATCCTGACCTCATGATTCGCCCTCCTCAGCCTCCCAAAGTACTGGGATTACAGGCATAAGCAGTCAATTTTTAAAGCTCCAAAATGATCTCCTTTGATTCCATGTCTCATATCCAGGGCACACTGATGGAAGAGTTGGGCTCCCATGGCCTTGGGCACTTCCACCCCTGTGGCTTTGCAGAGTATAGCTCCCCTTCTGGCTGCTTTCATGGGCTGGCATTGAGTATCTGCAGCTTTTCCAGGCACATGGTTCAAGCTGTTGCTGGATTGACCATTCTGGGGCCTGGAGGATGGTGGCCCTCTTCTCACACGTTTACTACATAGTGCCCCAGTGGGGACTCTGTGTGGGGACTCCAACCCCACAGTTCCCTCTGCATTGCCCTAGCAAAGGTTCTCCATGAGGGCCCTGCCCCTGCAGCACACCTTTGCCTGGAAACTCATCCTCTGAAATCTAGGTGGAGGCACCCAAGTCTCAATTATTGACTTCTGTGCATCCACAGGCTCAACACCATGTGTATGCCACCAAGGCTTAGGGCTTGTACCCTCTGAAGCCACCACCTGAGTTGTACCTTGGACCCTTATAGCCATGGCTGGAGCAGTTGGGACACACAGCACCTAGTCCCTAGGCTGTGCACAGCAAGGAGGCCCTGGCCCCCACCCATGAAATATTTTTTTTTCCCCTAGGCTTCCTGACCTGTAATGAGAGGGGTTGTTGTGGAGGTCTCTGACATGTCCTGGAGACATTTTCCCCATTGTCTTGGTGAGTAACATTCAGCTCCTTGTTACTCATGCAAATTTCTGCAGCCAGCTTGAATTTCTGCCCAGAAAATGGGTTTTTATTTTCTATAGCATTGGCAGGCTGCAAAATTTCCAAACTTTTATGCTTTCTTTCCTCTTGAATGCTTTGCCACTAGGAAAATTTTTCCACCAGATACCCTAAATCATCTCTCTCAAGTTAAAATTTCCACAGAGCCTTAGGGGAGAGGCAAAATGTTACCAGTCTCTGCATAGGAAGAGTGACCTTTACTCCAGTTCCCAACAAGTTTCTCATCTCCATCTGAAACAACGTCAGCCTGGACTTTATTGTCCATATACTACCAGCAGTTTGATTAAAGCCATTCAATGAGTCTCTAGGACATTCCAAACTTTCCCACATTTTCCTATCTTCTTCTCAGGCCTCCAAACTGTTCCAACCACTTCCCGTTACCCAGTTCCAAAGACACTTTTACATTTCCTGATATCTTAAGAGAAGTACCCCACTCTATTGGTACCAATATACTGTATTAGTCCATTCTCATGCTGCTAATAAAGACATACCAGAGACTGGGTAACTTATAAAGAAAAGAAGTTTAATTGACTCACAGTTCCGCAAGGCTGGGGAGACCTCAGGAAACTCACAGTCATGGTGCAAGGGGAAGTAAACACGTTCTTCTTCACATGGTGGCAGCAAGGAGAAGTGTCGAGCAAAAGGGGGAAAACCCTTTATAAAACTGTCAGATCTCATGAGACTTATTCACTATCATGAGAAAAGCATGGAAAAAAGTAGCACCCATGATTAATATACCTCCCACCAGTTTCTTCCCATGACGTGTGGGTATTATGGGAACTACAATGAAAGGTGAGATGCAGGTGGGGACACAGACAAACCATATCATATTTGTTTTCTATTTATATTTTTATTTTTTGAGATGGAGTCTCACTCTGTCACCCAGGCTGAAGTGCAGTGACATGATCTCAGCTTGCTGCAACCTCCACCTCCTGGGTTTATGTAATTCTCCTGCCTCAGCCACCTGAGTAGCCTGGATTACAGCCATGAACCACCATGTCCAGCTAACTTTTGTATTTTTAGTAGAGACAGGGTTTCACCATGTTGGTCAGGCTGCTCTCAAGCTCCTGAACTTAATCGATCTGCCTGCCTCAGCCTCCCAAAGTGCTGGGATTGCAGTCATAAGTCACCGCAACTAGTGTATAGTTAATATTGAACAACTTTAAATACATGTAAAATTTTGCTACTGTATAAGGTCCATTTAACTCACCTCTTATCTTGTATAATCATACAAGAGCTTGCCATATTAGAGCCATATAAGTGATATGCTACACAATACAGTATTACAATATTTTTAAACAATTTTATCTAGGTTAATCCAGTTAGAAGAAACATTATTTTAAATTTATCTGCTTTTATATCATTTCCAGTTCTTCATATTTTCCTGAAGATGTGAATATTCAACTGGAATTACATTCTTTTAGTCTACTAAATTAAGATTTCCATTAACCTTTTTTAGTGCAGATCTGCTGGTGAAAATTTTACAGATTTGTTAAATCTGGAAAAGGCCTATTTTTTTCTTCATTCTTGAAGGGTAGTTTCATAGAATGTAGAAATCTAGGTTGATTTTTGTTATCAGCAATTTAAATAAGTCTTCTGGCCTCAATTTTTATAATTTAATCCATATTCAATGCAGTTTCAGAGACCCTGGTTTGATCATGGTTAACATTTTAGAGTATCTTGTTTCAGCTGTATTTTCTTATTTTTAACATAATTTTTGGAATGAAAGACATTCTTAAGACAAAGAGGGAAAAATATTTTCATATACCTTTAACTTATAATTTATAAAGTCAGTTTTCTTATACACCTCTTTAGAGATTTGTAATCACCCATTTTAAAATTTAAATAACCCTTAACATTTTTTCATCTTAACTTAAAGATGCACAGTAACTTCACCTTTTTGTAAATGACAAAATAAATTTAGTGAAAATATTACTTAATAAGTTTAATGCATTTCCAAACTGCAAATGTTATCTCCCACTTCATTTTCCATCTTTTATTTTTTTCTGTACTTTTTTGGTGCTAGTAATTTTCAATTAAAATTTTTTTTTATTTTTCTTAACTTTCATTTTTCTAGTCTGTTTAAATCTCTTGATAGTAGGATTTATTTCTGATTCCATGTATTGCTTTGCTTTCACACTTCTATAAAGAACTACTTGAGACTGGATAATTTAGAAAGAAAAGAAGTTTAATTGACTCGTGGTTCTGCAGGCCTGGGGAGGCCTCAGTAAACTTACAATCTTGGTGGAAGGTGAAAGGGAAGCAGGCACCTTCTGTTCAAGGTGGCAAGAGAGAGAAAGCACGCAGGGAAAAACTGCCACTTTTAAAACCATCAGATATCATAAGAACTCCCTCACTATCATTAGAACAGCATGGGGGAAACTGCCCCCATCATGCGATCACCTCCCATCAGGTCTCTCCCATGACATGTGGGGATTGCAATTTGAGATAAGATTTGGGTGGGGACAGAGCCAAACCCTATCATTCTGCCCCTGGCCCCTGTCAAATTTTATGTCCTTTTCACATTTCAAAACCAATCATGCCTTCTCAACAGTGCCTCAAAGTCTTAACTCATTCCAGCATTAGCCCAAAAGTACAAGTCCAAAGTGTCATCTGAGACAAGACAAGTCCCTTCTACCTATGAGCCTGTAAAATAAAAACAAGTTAGTTACTTCCAAGATACAATGAAAGTACAGGTATTTGGTAAATGTTGCTGTTTTGAAATTGGAGAAATTGGCCAAAACAAAGGGGCCAAAGGCCCCAGGCAAGTCCAAAACCCAGCCAGGAAGTTATTACATCTTAGAGCTCTGAAATGACCTCCTTTGACTTAATGTCTCACATCCAGGGAATGCTGATTCAAGAACTGGCCTCCCAAGGCCAGTTCCCAAGGGCAGTTCCACCCCTGTGGCTCTGCAAGATACAGACCCAATGGCTGCTTTAATGGGCTGGCATTGAATGTCTGCAGCTTTGCTAGGGACATGGTGCACTCTGTTGGTGGATCTACCATTCTGGGGTCTGGATGATGGTGGCCCCATTATCACAGCTCCACCAGGCAGTGCCTCAGTGGAGACTCTGTGTGGGGGCTGTAATCTCACATTTCCTCTCTGCATTGCCCTGGTAGAGATTCTCCATGAGGGAGTCCATCCCTGCAGCAGACTTCTGTCTGAACATCCAGGCATTTCCATACATCCTCTGAAATCTAGGCAGAGGTTTCTAAACCCCAAGTCTTGCCTTCTGTGCACCAGTTGGCCCAACACCATGTGGAAGCCACTGAGGCTTGGAACTTGCACCCCCTGAAGCCACGGCCAGAGCTGTACTTTGGCGTCTTTTAGCAATGGCTAGAGCTGAAGCATGGTTGCAGTGTACCATGTCCTGAGGCTGCACAGAGCAGCTGGGACCTGTGCCTGGCCCATGATAGCATTATTTTCCTCCTAGACCTTCAGACCTTTGATGAGAGAGGTTTCTGTGAAGGTCTCTGAAATGCCCTGGAGATATTTATGTCATTATTTGGCCATGAACATTTGGCTTCTCTTTACTTATTCAAATTCCTGCAACAGGCATTTCTCCCCCAGAAAAATGCGTTATTTTCTACCACATTGTCAGGCTGCACATATTCCAAGCTTTTATGCTCTGCTTCTCTTTTAAATATAAGTTTCCATTTCAGATAATCTCTTTGTTCACACATGTGAGTGTACACTTTTAGAATCAGCCAGGTCATATCTTGAATGCTTTGCTGCTTTGAAATTTATTCGAACAGATACCCTAAATCATCTCTCTCAAGTTCAAAGTTCCACAGATCTCTAAAGTGGGGGCAAAATGCTACCAGTCTCTTTGCTAAAGAATAGCAAGAGTGACCTTTACTCTAGTTTCCAATAAGTTGCTCATCTCGATCTGAAACCACCTCAGCCTGGACTTCACTGTCCATATCACTATTGGCATTTTGGTCACAAGCATTCAACTAGTCTCTAGGAAATTTTGAACTTTCCCCCACTTTCGTGTCTATTCTGAGCCCTCCAAACTGTTCCAATCTCTGCCCATTACTCAGTTCCAAAGTCACTTCTATATTTTCAGATATTTTTATAGCGGTGCTTCACCCCCCCATACCAATTTTTTTGTATTACATTTTCACACTCCTGTAAAGAATTTCCTGAGACTAGGTAATTTATAAAGAAAGGAAGTTGAATTGACTCACAGTTCCACAGTCTTAAAAGGAAGCATGACTGGGACACCTGAGGAAACTTACAATTATGACAGAAAGTGAATGGGAAGCAAGCACCTTCTTCCCATTTTGCCAGGAGAGACAGAGAGAGTGACAGAAAGTACCCCATACTTTTAAAATATCAGATCTTGTGAGACCTCACTATCACAATATATCAGCAAGGGGAAAATCTGCTCCCATGATCCAATCACCTCCTACCAGGTCCCTACCCCAATAATGGGAATTACAATTCAACATGAGATTTGGGTGGGTACACACAGCCAAACCATATCAATCCATGTATGCACCTAAAAGTCACATGCATTTAGAAAGTATTCAGAAGTTTATTTGGTGTGTAAGAGATTGCCTAAAACTCCTTCTGTCTTCCTAAACTCCATATATGTTAAGCAAAAACAACAACCCCCCACAAAACCTTATTTTATACTTTTATATTTATGAGAACAGAACAAGTTATCAGCTTGTTTATACTGAGATATTACCAAAGGATGTTACTATAACCTCTTCTTGGTAAAATATATTAGTAATATTCATGTTGAAGGTATTTAAATTTAGACATTAGGTATATTTGGGCTTAGATATATATATGTGATAAAGTGAATATGAGCTCATTTGGTACAATTTAGTGAGACTTGGTCATAATGATTTTTTAATTTTAGTGCATTATTCACTTGTTATCTGAAGAAAAATGAAACAGTTGAGCTGATAAAATGTTACTTAAAAAAGTCTTAGAATAAAATAAATTAATGAGAAATAAATTCACATTACTGATATAACAAAATTGATAGGAAATTTTATTATGAATCAGTCAGGGTTAAATGTATGATAGAAAGAAGAGGAGAAACAGTAATGGAAGACACTGTGCATGCTTGAGTTCGAGGGGAAATCTTAAGTGCATTTTTTGACCCAAAGTTAACTTCTTAAGACTTTTTAACAATAATCTTAGAGAGGATCTAGAAGTCAGTTAGCTGGCCAAAAGGAGCTACTCATCTCATAACAATAGACACTGACACTCATCCTGAGTGGATAATGGCCTACTCTCAGAGTATCCTGCCCTAGGATAGAGACATTGGGAACTTGGTGCCATTTGTAAGTAATGGGTGTTAAGTACTCACAGTAGTCATGTCACTGGAAGATTAAAATGGCTTGTCTTTGTTTTATTAGGCTAATGTAGAAGTCATCTGCAGTATTAAAATGAATATATGAATTCAATAAATGTAAATTTTTAACATTAAATAGGTGCTACAACTACTTACTTAAAAACATACTTAAGATGCCATATCACTTAGGATACTTTTGCCTACAAAGTAAAAGGAATCTTAAATATGATAATGTTTCTTATCTCACACAGCAAGAAGTCCAGAGGTAGAACAAGATCCTGACCTGATGCCATTAGGGCTTTGGTTCCATATCTCTCCACTTCTCAGGATTTATTTATTTATTTGGTATTGACTTTGACTTTGTTCTTGAGCAAAAGATGCCTACCAGCACCTACTGGGCAACATGCATTTTGTTCAAGTATGGTGAGAAACAGAAACTTTCTTCTAAGTATGGAATGTAAATCCCTATGTTCAGCCTGATTGGTCCATTTACCCTCTCTTGAACAAATAAACTCTAGGAGAACGCTGTGTACTAATTGGCTTAACTCTAGGTTTCTCAAAAGAAAAAAAAATTGGCAACAGTTAATATGGTTGGCTTAGACTAAACAGAATAAAGATTGATTATTTTACAAACCAAAAAAGAGGGAATGGGTGCTGGTTAGACTGCATCAACATTTATTGAAAGAGTTTGCTATATTTGGTTATATAATAAGCATACATATAAACACAACAAGTAAATCATTGCTTATCTATTTTTCTGCATTGAAATACCACCTTATTTTATACTACTGGCTGTATTCACCCATCAAAACTGAAAAAGTTAGGGTCATAAGCAGGAGATTTCTTCAAATCGTAAACAAAATTTGTTTATATTAAATTATTCAAGCTTATATTAAACTATTCAAAGGTGTTTGTATTAAACTGTATTGATATTAAACTGTTTGAAGTTTATAAAAAATATTTGAAAGTGTTCTTTAAAGTTTAGCTTGAGATGACAGAAACTATACTTGAAAATTTCTGTTACCAGACCAAACTGATGGTCTGGCTGCTATTTCTTGTGGCCCAATAATGAGATGCAGATGAACTGGGGAGGAACAGAGTTTTTATTTCTGTAACCAGTTACAGAGAGAAGGCTTGGAAATTATTGCCAGACCAACTCAAAATTCCAAAGTTTTCCAGAGCTTATATACTTTCTAAGCTATATGTATATGTGTAAGTGTGCATTCATCTAAAGAATCATCTAAGTGTGATTAACTCCTTTTAATCTGTAACTAAGGTCTGTGTACTGAAGACCTTTCTCTGGAGCCTCAGTAAATGTATGTAATCTAAATGGATCCAGGTGCTGGGGTGACTACCCTTACCTTATCTCCTGCTAAATCACTGAGGAGTTCCTTCAGACCCCCAGTAAACTTGTTTTGGAGGCCTGGGGAGTTTCTTCAGACCCGCAATAAAACGTGTTTAATTCTAAATGGGTCTGTTAAGAATTCCTTCATTATTTTATCATGCTTTAAGGCCCAGGAAAGGCCTAGGCAAAACTCTTCATGGGCTTTTGTTACATCCCAGCCTTTGTATAAGGGAACTGGCTTTTAATATTTAACTTAACCACTCAGTCAGTACTGAAACAGTTGTTAGTGAAAACTGGCCAGCCCCATTTCCATATGGGAGTTTAAAATTAATTTAAAAATTAATGGCTGGGTGCAGTAGCTCATGCCTGTAATCCCAGAACTTAGGGTGGCAGAGGTGGGTGGATCACTTGAGGTCAGGAGTTTGATACCAGCCTGGCCAACATGGGAAAACCCTGCCTCTCCTAAAAATACAAAAAAATTAGCCAGGTGTGGTAGTGCAAGCCCGTAATCCCAGCTACTCGAGAGGCTGAGGCATGAGAATCGCTTGAACCCAGGAGGCAGAGGTTGCAGTGAGCTGAGATCATGCCACTACACTCCAGCCTGGGTGACAGAGTGAGAGTCAGTCTCAAAGAAAATTTAAAAATTA
The DNA here is from genome assembly GCF_000001405.40 of Homo sapiens. Taxonomy (NCBI): domain Eukaryota; kingdom Metazoa; phylum Chordata; class Mammalia; order Primates; family Hominidae; genus Homo; species Homo sapiens. Next base: position 62,998,605 of record NC_000006.12, read on the forward strand.
ATAATTCTAATATTTTTATTAACATATATTCACGTATCTGTTTCAACAATGCCAGTAAAAAATAATGATACTATTAAGAAAAAAGAACTAGCTATTTGAGTGAACAAAAATATGGTGAAAGAACAAATGACTTTTAAAAAAATGGCATGGAAAGTAATCACTGCTTTTTAAAAGATGTCAGAAAACATCTGAAAAGACAACAAGAGTATACTATCTTCAACAGACTAAAAGTTTTACCATTCTAATTCTAACAGCTTTCCTCTGGTTTTTCTTTTAAAATTCATAGCATATTATCTACAGATTTACACAATTTGCAATAAAAAAGCTATAATAGTAAAGTGTATGATTTACCAAAGAAGGCTGAGATATTTTAAATATTTTTTTTAAATGGGGCTGTTTTAAGTGGCTTACTTTGATTGGGAACTCTTAAATCAGAATAGAGCTTCCTCTGGGTTAGAAAAATATCTATTAACATTTTTCATAACTAACAGAGGGTCTTTCATTCTAAGTGCCTTTTTATGAATGCTGGGAATAACGTTCAAAATCCTAAGGAAATTGAACACTCAAACACAGGATTCTTAGCAAAGTAATTTTACTTCTGCACAGAGGGGTGCTTCTCCTTGGCCAGTCACCATGAGAGCACACCTGAACAAAGGGGCACAAGAGCCTTTATTCCTGACACAAGTCCTGCCCCTGTACACTTTCCCCATTGGCTGGGGTCAGGCCATACAATCTAAAGTAATCCCGGCGGGCTAAACATTTGAAATTTTTTTAGATAAGGTGGGCACGTAAGGGAGAGAGAGGAAAGGGGAAGGGGTGTCTGCAATGAGCTAGAGAGCTAGTATTCTTTCCAGATAAGGAAAGGAATGTGAGCTGGTACTGATAATGCCTGGTACTGTGGCATGTCTGGGCATGTAACAAAGGCAGAAAGGAAGAAAAAAGAGAAAAAGGGAAAAGGGGTAGGGGGCACTATGAATTAAAGAATAAAGGATTGATCAGCCTATTTGAAGAGAAACCTCATCATATCCCACAATGAATAAAACACTATAAGATACTTAACCTAAATTGGTTCTTCTGTCCCAGTTTTTGGATCTTACAGGTCAAAATTTGCACCTTAAATTATTAGGTGTAAATCATTTAACGGTCATAACACATTTAACTCATCTTAGTACTCTTTTAGAAGTTGTTAGTGACTTACCTAAACAATTCAGCAGTCCAGGCAATTGCCCATGACCTGTGGCTTTCCTGCATTTCTCTTACTACCTACAAATCTTCCTGGCACTCAGGAGGAAACAGGACTAAGGCTTGCCTTAGAAAAGTTGTGGATAATGAGAAATTTTCCTTGAAGTAAAAATTATCTGATTTGGTGCTTAATTCTTTCACAGTGCAGGAATTTTGCTCATTCTGTAAATTACAAGGCACCATCTATGGTAATGATTTACAGTCATTTGTAAGCTGGAGGCAGAAACTGACTCATAAAAGGGAATGTGTATTTCATTTTATCATCTACCAAACATTTATCTGATTTCTGCGAAGAAATTTAATATGCAGCAAGTTGGTAGAAAGTATTCTACACCAATGTCAATTTCAAAATCTGCCTTTAAAACTTCAGTAACTTCTGCTACTCAAGGGAAATTTATTGAATAAAAATAGATGACAAGGAATAGACAACCTGAAAACATGTCTCTTTCTTGGATCACATAAGCCTTTTATAAAGGATGCTAATAAAATGTATCCATAATATGTCAGAACAATTATTTAACTTGACTATCAAAGAACTAGAAACTGAAGTAGAGTAATTACAATTAATTCAGTGGCTGTAGTTTTTTTTTTTAACAGGGACTTAAATCATTAAGAAATTAAAGTTGGCAATAATTTGTTTTGTACTGGGAGCCCTATAAGAAATATCTGAGAAAAATGAAATCTGTGAAAGATTAATAAAAAACAAGAGGAAGGCAGTTGGATTTACATGACTTAATGTCAGTAAAATACATTGTCCTCATTGACACCAGTCAGATATTTTCTAGCAGTGAAAATAGGTTCTATCAACTATCTATTAACATATGAGGTAGGCTTTAAAACAATTAAATTAGTTTTTAACCAAATATCTGGTTCTTTCACATTGGATAGACATGTTGTTTATTTAATTCTGAAACTTAGAGACAAAATGGTAAGCATTTTAATTCCTTAGGGGAAAACATACCTTATTATGTAGTCATTAACTATTTTATTAGTCTTTTTTATTATTTCAAGGAAGGATTTATTATATTTTCCTCAAAGATTCAACTTTTGGCTTCTAAATTAGTAAGACAAAGGACCTGATTTTTCCAAGTATACCAGAAAGTTAAAACCTAAATCAAACTAATAAACAAACAAACAAAAATTCTTTTAGAATAATTTGTAAATCTTCTAATGAAACTCATTAGAAAAAAAGGTGGCATAGTCAACAGACTTTTTTCCATGTTACTACTTTAAGTGAGAATGTCTGTGTAAGCATATATTTAATATGTATGCAATTTAATACATTAAATATTAGTATACAGTTTTAATATATTATGCATACTTTAAATACATATAAAAATTATAATTCTAATTTGAAAAATTATTATATGCCTTTTCATGTGTCAGAGATTCACAACTGGATTATGAAATAAACCAACGATAATCCAAATTAATTTGCTCAAGAAGCAGCATTAAGCACAAATATTTCTTTTTTTTTATTATTATACTTTAAGTTTTAGGGTACACGTGCACAATGTGCAGGTTAGTTACATATGTATACATGTGACATGCTGGTGTGCTGCACCCATTAACTCGTCATCTAGCATTAGGTATATCTCCTAATGCTATCCCTCCCCCCACCGCCACCCCACAACAGTCCCCAGAGTGTGATGTTCCCCTTCCTGTGTCCGTGTGTTCTCATTGTTCAATTCCCACCTATGGGTGAGAATATGAGGTGTTTGGTTTTTTGTTCTTGCGATAGTTTACTGAGAATGATGATTTCCAATTTCATCCATGTCCCTACAAAGGACATGAACTCATCATTTTTGATGGCTGCATAGTATTCCATGGTGTATATGTGCCACATTTTCTTAATCCAGTCTATCATTGTTGGACACTTGGGTTGGTTCCAAGTCTTTGCTATTGTGAATAGTGCCACAATAAACATACGTGTGCATGTGTCTTTATAGCAGCATGATTTATACTCTTTTGGGTATATACCCAGTAATGGGATGGCTGGGTCAAATGGTATTTCTAGTTCTAGATCCCTGAGGAATCGCCACACTGACTTCCAGAAGGGTTGAACTAGTTTACAGTCCCACCAACAGTGTAAAAGTGTTCCTATTTCTCCACATCCTCTCCAGTACCTGTTGTTTCCTGTTGTTTCCTGACTTTTTAATGATTGCCATTCTAACTGGTGTGAGATGATATCTCATTGTGGTTTTGATTTGCATTTCTCTGATGGCCAGTGATGGTGAGCATTTTTTCATGTGTTTTTTGGCTGCATAATTGTCTTCTTTCCCTGGGATGCAAGGCTGGTTCAATATACGCAAATCAGTAAATGCAATCCAGCATATAAACAGAACCAAAGACAAAAACCACGATTATTTCAATAAATGCAGAAAAGGCCTTTGACAAAATTCAACAACACTTCATGCTAAAAACTCTCAATATATTCGGTATTGATGGGATGTATCTCAAAATAATAAGAGCTATCTATGACAAACCCACAACCAATATCATACTGAATGGGCAAAAACTGGAAGCATTCCGTTTGAAAACTGGCACAAGACAGGGATGCCCTCTCTCACCACTCCTATTCAACATAGTGTTGGAAGTTCTGGCCAGGGCAATTAGGCAGGAGAAGCAATAAAGGTCATTCAATTAGGAAAACAGGAAGCCAAATTGTCCCTGTTTGCAGACGACATGATTGTATATCTAGAAAACCCCATCATCTCAGCCCAAAATCTCCTTAAGCTGATAAGCAACTTCAACAAAGTCTCAGGATAGAAAATCAATGTACAAAAATCACAAGCATTCTTACACACCAATAAAAGACAAACAGAGAGCCAAATCATGAGTGAACTCCCATTCACAATTGCTTCAAAGAGAATAAAATACCTAGGAATCCAACTTACAAGGGATGTGAAGGACCTCTTCAAGGAGAACTACAAACCACTGCTCAATGAAATAAAAGAGGATACAAAGAAATGGAAGAACATTCCATGCTCATGGGTAGGAAGAATCAATATCGTGAAAATGGCCATACTGTCCAAGGTAATTTATAGATTCAATGCCATCCCCATCAAGCTACCAATGACTTTCTTCACAGAATTGGAAAAAACTACTTTAAAGTTCATATGGAACCAAAAAAGAGCCTGCATTGTCAAGTCAATCCTAAGCCAAAAGAACAAAGTGAGAGGCATCACGCTACCTGACTTCAAACTATACTACAAGGCTACAGTAACCAAAACTGCATGGTACTGGTAGCAAAACAGAGAGATAGACCAATGGAACAGAACAGAGCCCTCAGAAATAATGCCACATATCTACAACCATCTGATCTTTGACAAACCTGAGAAAAACAAGCAATAGGGAAAGGATTCCCTATTTAATAAATGGTGCTGGGAAAACTGGTTAGCCATATGTAGAAAGCTGAAACAGGATCCCTTCCTTACACCTTATACAGAAATTAATTCAAGATGGATTAAAGACTTACATGTTAGACCTAAAACCATAAAAACCCTGGAAGAAAACCTAGGCAATACCATTCAGGACATAGGCATGGGAAATGACTTCAAGTCTAAAACACCAAAAGCAATGGCAACAAAAGCCAAAATTGACAAATGGGATCTAATTAAACTAAAGAGCTTCTGCACAGCAAAAGAAACTACCATCAGAGTGAACAGGCAAACCACAAAATGGGAGAAAATTTTCAGAACCTACTCATCTGACAAAGGGCTAATATCCAGAATCTACAATGAACTCCAACAAATTTACAAGAAAAAAACAAACAACCCCATCAAAAAGTGGGCGAAGGAAATATTTCTTGAAAAATATTATAAATCAATTTAGAAAAGTAAGAATCTGTCTCTAAATTTGTAGCTACTATTTCCTGTGATATAAAACAAATACAAATACTTAAAATCAGTGCTTTCAAAACACACTTGTATTCAATATAGTTTCTGGGGAAAATTATATTTAGAATTACATTAGAAAATAACTATATATTTTATTTCTTTTTTAAAAAAAGCAACTGTAATGCTAAATCTGTTTCATTCTGTGAGATATGGGATATTCAATGTACCTAGGTGAATAAAAATGTATTCTTAGTTTCTGAGAATACTGATGGGTTTATGCTAAAAAAAGTCATAACTAATTCCAAAAGGAGTAAGTAAAGGAAAGCAAAACATATCCCGCAGACATTCAGCAAAAAGAATGCTCTGTGTTCTTCAGCTGACCTTTGGAGTTCTTCAATACCAGTTTTGGCAGCATTTGTGATGCCTTTGTGAAGGGAATGGTGGTAGCTAAGTAGGTGAATCAATAACTCAGGGTGAATCTATACACAGTTGTAGAGCTAAAAAGACCCGCATAGTTGATTCTTTCATTCCTAGCTAGAATCCACACTGGGTTAAAATAAAGATGAACATGGAAACACCAGTCTCTACAACTATTAAGACAGTTGTATAAGTGTTTACCCTGTTTCTGCTTCAATGCGTAAACCACAGATATGTGCCTCAACAACCTCAGAGTATACAAGATGTCATAGAATATAACTTAAATCTAAGAGGGCATACAGGAATAGACTTCCCTCCAAATTGAATTGAATGATTTACACATTTGCCAGGACTAACTATAGCAATCTCTTTGAACTTACTAAGAAAATATATCAGAATGGAAAATCTAATTTAATTTGAGAATTGATTTTGATTAATTTGGTTTTGATTGATAAAATTATATGATACAAATAATATTTAAGCTAATGTGAAAATGACATAAAACATATATTTAAAATGTTTTAAATATTTATGGATGGTGTTCTTGATTGGAAATTGAAGCTAAAGGACTATATTATTGGCAAACTCTGACTTTTGTAACTCCCTGAAAATCCTGCTTTCTTCCAGTTCTACCAATTGCATAACCACAGAAGTGAAGATAAGCTACATTATGAAGTTTAGTTACTCATTTAACTAATAATTATGGATCATGTATACAAAGTGTGTGCCGTATTTCCACCTATGTGTGAAGAGTTTATAATGTAATGGGGACATACACATACAAAGCTAAGTCAAAAATTGTGGTTCCCTGGACATAATATTTGGAATTGCTAAGAGTTTCTTTCACAAAAAAATTTCTTATTGCTTCAAGAATTTTTTTACTGGTGGAGCTATTAGCCTTTATTTTCTCAGTAAGAAGACAGGTACATTCATACAAATTAAGTCAGGTGAAGGGCTGTAACCACACCCAATTATCCTCCCTAAAAGGTGAAAACAGTGGCACCTTCTCAAGAACCGAGGCAACATTTAAACCCTGCTCAGATTCCTTTTGATTTTCTCCAAAGCTTGTTCCTTCCTTGATCAGGAAGGCTTTTGTTATCTTTGCATGTACAAATAAATTGTCTTTATGTTTCATGCTGCATTCTTCTAAGCTCTCTGATTAACTTTCCTGAACTTTTTCTTGTCCTCCATATTTGGTCTCAAATTCTAAAACTGAGTTCTTTTGAAAATCAAAAGCTATAACAAAATTATTTTTTCTTTCCAACTTTGGACTCTTACACATATAAAATGATTTGGCTTCTGACTCCTGTCTATCCTCTGACTAAAGCAATTCATTTACTTTTCCAGTATTCCAGGCTGCAATCCTGCTATTCTTTGGGTCAAAGTATCAGGCCTCTGAGCCCAAGCTAAGCCATCATATCCCCTGTGACCTGCACATATACATCCAGATGGCCTGAAGTAACTGAAGGATCACAGAAGAAGTGAAAATGGCCTGTTCCTGACTTAACTGATGACATTACCTTGTGAAATTCCTTTTCCTGGCTCATCCTGGCTCCAAAGCTCCCACACTGAGCACCTTATGACCCCCACCCCTGCCTGACAAAGAACAACCCCCTTTGATTACTTTTCCTTTACCTACCCAAATCCTATAAAATGGCCTACCCCTAACTCCCTTTGCTAACTCTTTTTTCGGACTCAGCCCGCCTGCAACCAGGTGAAATAAACAGCCTTTTTGCTCACACAAAATCTGTTTGGTGGTCTCTTCAGATGCATGCTAGTGAAATTTGGTGCCGTCTCTGATCGGGGGACCTCTCTTGGGAGATCAATACCCTGTCCTCCTGCTCTTTGCTCCATGAGAAAGATCCATCTACGACCTCTGGTCCTCAGACCAACCAGCCCAAGGAACACCTCACCAATCTTAAATGGGGTAAACGCCCTCTTTTTACTCTCTTCTCCAAACTCTCTCACTATCCCTCAACCTCTTTCTCCTTTCAATCTTGACACCACACTTCAATCTCTCCCTTCTCTTAATTTCAGTTCCTTTCCTTTTCTGGTAGAGACAAAGGAGATGTGTTTTATCCGTGGATCCAAAACTCCGGCGCCGGCGATGGACTGGGGAAGACAGCCTTCCCTTGGTGTTTAATCAAGTGGGGATGCCTGCCTGATTATTCACCCACATTTCATTGGTGTCTGATCAACATGGGGACGCCTGCCTTGGTCATTCAACCACATTCCCTTGGTGGCAAATCAATTGTGGGGATGCCTGCTTTGGCTGCTCACCCACATTGCAGCCCAGGGCTGCTCACCCAACCCCTTCTCTCCATGTCTCTACCCTCTTTTCTCTCCACTTTCCTTGGGGGCAAACACCCCCCACCCCTCCTCTTCATGTCTCTACCCTCTTTTTTCTCTGGACTTGCCTCCTTCACTATAGGCAACCTTCCACCCTCCATTCCTCCTTCTTCTCCCTTAGCCTGTGTTCTCAAGAACTTAAAACCTCTTAAACTCTCATCTGACCTAAAACCTAAATGCCTTATTTTCTTCTGCAATGCCACTTGGCCCCTATACAAACTTGATAATGACTCTAAATGGCCAGAAAACAGCACTTTTGATTTTTCCATCCTACAAGATCTAAATAATTCTTGTCTTAAAATGGGGAAAGCGTCTGAGTTGCCTGACTTGCAGGCATTGTTTTACACATCAGTCCCTCCCTAGTCTCTGTTCCCAATGTAAATCATCCCAAATCTTCTTTCTTTCCCTCCCACCTGTCCCTTCAGTCCTAACCCCAAGCATCTCTGAGTCTTTTGAATCTTCCTTTTCTACGGACCCATCCGACCTCTCCCCTCCACCCCAGGCTGCTCCTTGCTAGGCAGAGTTAGGTCTCAATTTTTCCTCATCCTCTGCTCCCCTACCTTATAATCCTTTTATCACCTCCCCTCCTCACACCCGGTCCAGCTTACAGTTTTGTTCTGCCACTAGCCCTCCCCAACCTGCCCAACAATTTCCTCTTAAAAAGGTGGCTGGAGCTAAAGGCATAGTCAAGGTTAATGCTCCTTTTTCTTTATCCAACCTCTCCCAAATCAGTTAGCATTTAGGCTCTTTTTCATCAAATATAAAAATCCAGTCTAGTTCTTGGCTCATTTGGCAGCAACCCTGAGAAGCTTTACAGCCTTAGACCCTAAAAGGTCAAAAGGCTGTCTTATTCTCAATATATATTTTATTACCCAATCCACTCCTGACATTAAATAAAACTCCAAAAATTAAATTCCTGCCCTCAAACCCCACAAAAGGACTTAATCAAACTGGCCTTCAAGGTGTACAATAATAGAGTAGAGGCAGCCAAGTAGCAACGTATTTCTGAGTTGCAATTCCTTGCCTCCACTCTGAGACAGACCCCAGCCACATCTGCAGCACACAAGAACTCCAAACACCTGAACCACAGCTGCCAGGGGTTCCTCCAGATCTTCCTCCCCCAGGAGCTTGCTACAAGTGCTGGAAATCTGGCCACTGGACAAGGAATGCCTGCAGCCTGGGATTCCTCCTAAGCCATGTCCCATCTCTGTGGGACCCCACTGAACTCACTGGCAGCCACTCCCAGAGCCCCTGGAACTCTGGCCCAAGGCTCTCTGACTGACTCCTTCCCAGATCTTCTCAGCTTAGTGTCTGAACACTGACAATTCCCGATTGCCTTGGGAGCCCCCTAGACCATCACGGATGCCGAGCTTTGGGTAACTCTTACTGTGGAGGGTAAGTCCGTCCCCTTCTTAATCAATATGGAGGCTACCCACTCCACATTACCTTCTTTTCAAGGGCCTGTTTCCTTTGCCTTCATAACTGTTGTGGGTATTGATGGCCAGTCTTCTAAACCTCTTAAAACTCCCCAACTCTGGTGCCAACTTAGACAATACTCTTTTAAGCACTCCTTTTTAGTTATCCCCACCTGCCCAGCTCCCTTATTAGGTCAAAATATTTTAACTAAATTATCTGCTTCCCTGACTATTCCTAGGCTACAGCCACACTTCATTGCCACCTTTTCCCCCAGTTCAAAGCCTCCTTCACATCCTCTCCTTGTATCTCCTCACCTTAATCCACAAGTATAGTACAACTCTACTCCCTCCTTGGCTACTGATCATTCACCCCTTACCATCCCATAAATACTTAATAGCCCTTACCCCACTCAATGCCAATATCCCATCCCACAGCACTCTTTAAAAGGATTAAAGCCTGTTATCACTTGCCTGTTACAGCATGGCCCTTTAAAGCCTATAAACTCTCCTTACAATTCCCCCATTTTACCTGTCCTAAAACTGGACAAGCCTTACAGGTTAGTTCAGGATCTGCGCTTTATCAATGAAATTGTTTTGCCTATCCACCCCATGGTGCCAAACCCATATACTCTCCTATTCTCAATACCTCCCTCCACAACCAATGATTCTGTTCTGGATCTCAAACATGCTTACTTTACTATTCCTTTGCACCTTTTCTTTACTATTCCTTTGCATCCTTCATCCCAGCCTCTCTTTGCTTTCACTTGGACTGACCCTGACACCCATCAGGCTCAGCAAATTACCTGGGCTGTATTGCTGCAAGGCTTCACAGACAGCCCCCATTATTTCAGTCAAGCCAGAGTTCTTACACAAGAGCTGGGACTGCAGCCGGTAGCCTTTTTATCCAAACAACTTGACCTTACTGTTTTAACCTAGCCTTCATGTCTGTGTGTGGCAGCTGCCACTGCCCTAATACTTTTAGAGGCCCTCAAAATCACAAACTATGCTCAACTCACTCTCTACAGTTCTCATAACTTCCAAAATTTATTTTCTTCTTCCCACCTGACACATATACTTTCTGGTCCCCAGCTCCTTCAGCTATACTCACTCTTTGCTGAGTCTCCCACAATTACCATTGTTCCTGGCCTGGACCTCAATCCGGCCTCCCACATTATTCCTGATACCACACCTGACCCCCATGATTGTATCTCTCTGATCCATCTGACATTCACCCCATTTCCCCATATTTCTTTCTTTCCTGTTCCTCACCTGAACACACTTGTTTTATTGATGGCAGTTCCACCAGGCCTAATCATCACTCACCAGCAAAGGCAGGCTATGCTATAGTATCTTCCACACCTATCATTGAGGCTACCGCTCTGCCCCCTCCACTACCTCTCAACAAGCCAAACTCATTGCCTTAACTCGAGCCCTCACTCTTGCAAAAGGACTATGTATCAGTATTTATACTGACTCTAAATATGCCTTTCATATCCTGCACCATCATGCTGTTATATGGGCAGAAAGAAATTTCCTCACTATGCAAGTGTCCTCCATCATTAATGCCTCTTTAATAAAAACTCTTCTCAAGACTGCTTTACTTCCAAAGGAAGCTGGAGTCATTCACTGCAAGGGCCATCAAAAGGCATCAGATCCCATGGCTCAGGATAATGCTTATGCTGATAAGGTAGCTAAAAAAGCAGCTAGCGTTCCAACTTCTATCCCTCACAGCAGTTTTTCTTCTTCTCATCTGGCCACTCCCACCTACTCCCCAATGAAATTTCCACCTATCAATCTCTTCCCACACAAGGCAAATTGTTCTTGGACCAAGGAAAATATCTCCTTCCAGCCTCACAGGCCCATTCTATTCTGTCATCATTTCATAACCTCTTCCATGTAGGTTATAAGCTGCTAGCCCATCTCTTAGAACCTCTCACTTCCTTTCCATCATGGAGATCTATCCTCAAGGAAATTACTTCTCAGTGTTCCATCTGCTATTCTACTACCCCTCCGGGATTGTTCTAGCCCCCTCCATTTCCTACATATCAAGCTCGGGGATTCGCCCCTGCCCAGAATTGGCAAATTGACTTTACTCACATGCCCCGAGTCAGGAAACTAAAATACCTCTTGGTCTGGATAGACACTTTCACTGGCTGGGTAGAGACCTTTCCCACAGGGTCTGAAAGTCCACCATGGTCATTTCTTCCCTTCTGTCAGACATAATTCCTCAGTTTGGCCTTTCCACCTCTATACAGTCCAATAAGAGACTGGCCTTTATTAGTCAAATCACCCAAGCAGTTTCTCAGGCTCTTGGTATTCAGTGAAACCTTTATATCCCTTACCATCCTCAATCTTCAGGAAAGGTAGAACGGACTAATGGTCTTTTAAAAACACACTCACCAAGCTCAGCCACCAACTTAAAAAGGACTGGACAATACTTTTACCACTTTCCCTTCTCAGAATTCGGGCCTGTCCTCAGAATGCTACAGGGTACAGCCCATTTGAGCTCTTATATAGACGCTCCTTTTCATTAGACTCCATTCTCATTCCAGACACCAGATCAACTTGGACTGCAACCCAAAAAACTTGTCATCCTTACTATCTTCTTTCTAGTCATACTCTTATTCACCATTCTCAACTACTCATAAATACCCTGCTCTTGTTCACACTGCTGGTTTACACTGTTTCTCCAAGCCATCACAGCTGATATCTCCTGGTGCTATCCCCAAACCACCACTCTCAACTCCCTCTTAAAGTAAATAAATAATCTTTGCTGGCAGGGCTAGACTGAACCCCCTTGAGCACTCTCTAATTGGATGTCCTGGGTCCTCCCAATTCTTAATCCTTTAATACCTGTTTTTTCTCCTCTTAATTTGGACCTTGTGTCTTCCATTTAGTTTCTCAATTCACATAAAACCACATCCAAGCCATCACCAATCATTCTATATGACAAATGCTCCTTTTAACAACCCCACAATATCACCCCTTACCACAAAATCTTCCTTCAGCTTAATCTCTCCCACTCTAGGTTCCCAAGCCACCCCAATCCCACTCGAAGCACCCCTGAGAAACATCACCCATTATGTCTCCATACCACCCCCCAAAATTTTTGCTGCCCCAACACTTTACCACTATTTCATTTTATTTTTCTTATTAATATAAGAAGACAGGAATGTCAGGCCTCTGAGCCTAAGCTAAGCCATCATATCCCCTGTGACCTGCACATATACATCCAGATGGCCTGAAGTAACTGAAGAATTACAAAAGAAGTGAAAATGTTGTGAAAGTTCCTGCTTTAACTGATGACATTACCTTGTGAAATTCTTTCTCCTGGCTCATCCTGGCTCAAAAGCTCCCCCACTGAGCACCTTGTGACCTGCCCCCTACCCCCCCTCCCCGCCTGCCAAAGAAAACCCACTTTGACTAATTTTCCTTTACCTACCCAAATCATATAAAACGGCCCACCTCTATCTCCCTTCACTGACTCTTTTCGGACTCAGCCCGCCTGCACCCGGGTGAAATAAACAGCCTTTTTGCTCACACAAAGTCTGTTTGGTGGTCTCTTCATAGGGACATGAGTGAAACAAAGAATGAGGAAGAGTCTCTGGGCCAGCAAGAGCAACTGGAGATGGGAAAGAAGGACTTTGAAGTTAAAATCTGTAAATATTATTCCTTACATAAAAATCACCATGTTTCTCCAAATAGTGATGAAAATATTTGCAGCTTTTCATTAGAACATCCTTGAGACTTTGTGAAAGTGGTGCTTAGTAGTTTATAGAGGAGAAAATTAGAAAAAAAGAGGGAATTAGTAATTCAGTGGTTAGACAGGAGAATATTTTTTGAATGACCACTGCTCCTTCATTGTGTCTTCCATTGCTCCTCATTACCTCTTCAGAAACTGCTGCTTTCATTGTTTCTAATGGTTAGAAACACATGGGGGATATCGTGCTGAAGCAGGCATTGGAAGAGTATTTGGGTGTGAACAAAAGCCAAAGGAAATAGTAAAATACATTAAGTGAATGATTTAGATTAGAAAATAAATATTTCCTAGGTTCTGAATGAAAATACAGAGCTGCTCTAGTTTAGACATTTTACTTTCCATCTGAGAAGGATGGTGTTCACACTGACTGAGTCAGAGAAACACAGATAATGGGAGTCCATATTGAATATACAATTAGGTTTCTTGACTTTCCTTTGACAGGGAATTGTATTAGCCTCTTATAAAAAAGCTAGAGTAAATTGATCTTACTATTTTCTCTCCCTTTAATCTGCTTTGGTGTTCCCTTTTCCTATTGGCCAAATGTAATCAGAGAAGCCATTGATAATACAGGATAATACTGTTCATACTGCTCAGAGACAGAGAGCAGGTGAATAAGACAAGAGAATACATCTGGAAGAGAAACAGGTAACTAACATGCTAGTTTTTTTTTTTTTTTTAATTTGTCCTTTCAAGGTTTTCCCATGAGTTTAATTTGATTAAAAACACTTCGTTGAGAGTTATATTCTGGTCACTATTCTCTTTCACACTTACATATCATTTAAGATTGTGAACCCTTACATATGCTCAAGGTGGTCAGAGCACAGTTTGGTTTTAAACATTTTAAGGATACATGAGACCTCAATCAACACATGTAAGACAAGCATTGTTTCAGTTTGGAAAAGGAGGGATGACTCAAAGCAAGGGTGGGACAACTTGAAGTGGGAAAGGGGCTTCCAGGTCATAGGTAGATAAGAGACAAATGGTTGCATTCTTTCGAATTTCTGAATTAGCCTGACCTAAGGAGGCAATGAGATATGCATTTATCTCAGTGAGCAGAGGGGTGACTTTGAATAGAATGGGAGGCAGGTTTGCCCTAAGCAGTTCCCAGCTTGACTTTTCTCTTTAGCTTAGTGATTTGGGGGCCCCTAGATTTATTTTCCCTTCACAAGTTATAGAAGGGATGAATACATTTTTTTTTTTTTTTTAGAAAACCAGGCCAACTTATATTTTTTCCTGTCCCTCTTATCTAGTTTAAATGGTATAAGGCAAAGGTGTTACAAATAACTATGAGATGGAGTGATATTAATGACATAGAAAAGTAAGAGTCATATGGAAATGTTCAATTCACCATGCTGACAAGAGTGACTTTTACAACTAATTTAGTTCATTTACTGCTGTTTAAATATAATTATAAGTGTGAGGGATATTTCCTATATTCTGTAATTTACCACTTGTGCTCTCTACAAGTGTCTTTATTCTACAAAAAGTAACCCCACTATATCATTCACCAAAAAAAAAAATTAAAGAAAATCAAATGCCTGAATATTACCCATATCATTGTCCTAGGCTAAAAATATTTATGGGTAGTCATAAAATTAGCTATCCTTTTACAAATATTTAACCTGTAGCATGTATGCTGTTGATATCCAGTGGAGGGTATTACAGGAGTTGACTATGTTATATATCTTATTTAAAGAATGACTAATTTGGGGGGGAGCTTTAAAATTACTTCACTTTAACTTTCTTAAGTTTTTCACAATTTTATTTTATAAAAAAAATTCAAGTTAAGAATTCAACTGGTTTTCATTACGTCTTTCAAAATAGTTTCCAAACAAGTATATTTTCATGCTTAACTGTTTCAGACAGCCTAACTTAACAGATGTACACAGTTATACAGAGAAACTCAAAAAGTGATTTCTAAGGATTTTCTTAATAGTAAACTAATTTCACCACTCAGCATGTTTATCATTTCTATTTTTTTCTCTTTTTTCTTCTTCTTGTACTGCTTTGTTTAAATTTAATTTTTTTTTTTATTTTTTACAGTACATAGTAAGTGTATATATTTGTAGGGTACATGAGATCCGACAAAGACATTTCAAAACAAACAATCTAATCACACTCTTTAAGCTATTTTAACGTGTACCATTAAGTTATTATGGACTATAGTCACCCTGTTGCACTATCAAATAGTTATTCACTGTTTCTATTTCTTTTTTTTTTTTGTAGCCATTAAACATCCCTACCTCCTCCCAAGTCCCCCCACTACTCTTCCAAGCCTCTGGTAAGCATCCTTCTAGAAGAAAAAGTTACCTTTGATGAATATCTTCATACAGATTTAAATAACCAACACTATGTTCTAAAAACTTTGGTAAACAATTCAGAAATTAAAAAAAAAATACATAGGTTCATCACCCACACAGGTGAAGAAAGTCTATATAATAGAAAGAAAAATTCAAAACACTATTGTGTTTAATTTTTAAGTATGGTCTTAGTTTTGATTTTGTAAAAATCAAGGCCTGAGGCAAGGATTAAAGCTACATTCTTTGGGAAGTGCAAGCCCAGGGTGTTGAGAGTGAAATCAAAATGAGGTGACAACAATGAAAAATGTGCTTATCACTGCACTGGACACCTTTCACAGTTCTCAAGGTGAAATAGACCTTGTTCAGCAGGCATAGGTTTCTTTACATGTGGGACTTTCTTTGCAAGAACTGTAAAGAGAAATCATACCTCAGAGAAGAGTATGAAAAGAAAAAAAGAGAAGAAATGTCTTTGCTTGTTTCTCTTACATCTCCCAGTTCTCATTAGTCAAGGAACACTCCATGGAATGAAATTCCTTGAATTTCTGGGTTGTGGCTGCCTTCTACATAGCAATCATTCAGGAAGCTATAGTCTCTGCCCAATAAGGTGGCATTTCATCTAAGTAAGAAAATGGCAGGAGACACAGGAACTCAGTGATTATAGGAACTTGATGAGCCAGCTAGGTGAGCTTGTAAAGAGGAATCTTCTTTGGAAAGAAGGAATTAAGAGAACGAATCTGAGAAGGCATACAAAGTTGGTAACACTGGAAAAATAAACTAAAATGGCTTGAACTTGATAATGGTTTACAAGGGAACATTCAAGAAATATTTAATATTCACTGATAAACATATTATATTAGAATTACACCTGTGCTTGTCTCTCCTATCGGCTTGTAAATATTAGGATGGGATTTTTTTTCTCATTTATTTTTACAATCCCCATATGCTTAGGCTTTATAATTAACACCCCTCCACACACATACTCACACACACTCACATATATATTTTTAACATATCTTACCAAGATATTTCAAATAATCGAGTGACAAAAGTGTGCTTCTATGAATGTATGATTTCTAAAGGTGGTAATTTGGGGGAGATATTAAAACTCACTTAAAAATTGGATATTTGTAAGAAAACCTTTTTGGGTAGCAGAACAGACACGGGGTAGAAGAAGCTGAAAATTTAAGACAGCCAATAAGAGATATCATTACTCATCTCATTTTACAAGGTCTTAATTAATAAAAATATGATTTTATTTATTAATTAATAAAAATATGATTTAATGAATAAAATTCATTAAAAATTTATTCAACAATGTTCATGGAATACATACTGTATTCTATATCCTGTATTGGCACTGAAGACCTCAAAATGTGTAAGACTGTTCTTTCTAGAAACTTAGAGACTAATGAAAGAAATAGGAATGTAAACAATTCATTATTTATTATCATAACTTTTAAGAGGTGCTTTAATGGGTAAATAATGAATAAGTATTGCTCAAGTCAGTTCTATACAGCTACAACATTACTTTGGACTAACTCTACCTAAAATTATAGCAATGAAAAATAGAAAATAAAAATCATCCAGAACATTTATAGCATCTTCAACATACATAATGAAGTAAGCAGAAGGAGAACACGGAAATAAAATCTGGTGCATAGCATTGATATTGCATAATTGTAACAGTACACACAGGTTATTGTAATATTCTATAGGATAAGTCAAAATTTAACAACATTGATAGAACTATGAATGTCTGTATACACAAAAAACTGAAATAATTTATTAAAGGAAACAAATTAAGTTTTTACAGGCATGTATTGTCTCATTGTGTTTTGCTTTGTTGCACTTTGCAGATACTGCATTTTTTACAAATCAAAGGTTTGTGGCAGCCCTGTGTCAAGCAAGTTTACCGGCACCGTTTTCCCAACAGCTTGTGCTCATCTTGTATCTCTGTGTCACATTTTGATAATTTTCACAATATTTCAAATCTTTTCATTACTGTTCTATCTGATATGGTAATCTGTGATCAGTGATGTTTGATGTCATTGTTTAATTGTTTTAGGAAGCCAAGAAATGTGCCCATATAAGACAGCAAATTTAATAAATATTGTGTGTGCTTTGACTGCTTCATCCACTGGCCATTTCTTCATTTCTATCCCTTCCCTCAAGCCTCCCTAGTGACTGATATTCACTGACATTGCCTATTCACTCCCTACACACTGATATTCACACAATAATATTTAAATTAGGCCAATTAATAACCCTAAGATGCCCTCTAACTGTACAAATGGAACAAAGAGTCATACATTTCTCACTTTAAATTGAAATCTATACCCGGGCAGGGTGGCTCACGCCTGTGATCCCAGCACTTTGGGAGGCCAAGGCAGGTGAATCATGAAGTCAGGAGTTCAAGACCAGCCTGGCCAACACGGTGAAACCCTGTTTCTACTAAATATACAAAAATTAGCCAAGTGTGGTGGTGGGTGCCTGTAATCCCAGATACTCAGGAGGCTGAGGCAGGAGAATCGCTTGAACCCAGGAGGCAGATGTTGCAGTGAGCTGAGATCTCCTACTGCACTCCAGCCTGGGCAACAGAGCAAGACTCCATCTCAAAAAAAGAAAAATCAAAAGCTATAAATGGAACAACAAATTCTGTATGATAGTACATCTGTTTACAGCATGGTTTACTGAATATTTTAAGCCCACTGTTGAGATCAACTGAACAGAAAAACAGATTCCTTTCAAAATATTACTACTCATTGACAATGCCCTGGTATCCCAAGAGCCCTGATGTAGATGTACAAGGAGATTAATGTTGTTTCCATGCCTGATAACATAGCATCCATTCTGTAGCCCAGGGATCAAGTAGTAATTTTTACCCTTGAGTATATTATTTAATAAATACATTTTGTAAGGCTATAGTTTTCATAGATAATGATTCATTTTATGGATTTGGGCAAAGTCAATTGGAAAACTTCTGGAAAGCCTTCACCATTCTAGTTGTCATTAGGAATATTAGTGATTCATGGGAGAAGGTCAAAATATCCACATGAACAGGAGTTTGGAAGAAGTTGATTCTAACCCTCCTGGATGACTTTGAGAGGTTCAAGACTTAAGTGAAGGAAGCCACTGCAAATATGGTAGAAACAGCCAGAGAACTAGAATTATAAGTGGAGCCTGAAGATGTGATTGAATTGCTGTAATTGCATTGATATTGTTTGGATATTTGTCCCGCCCAAATCTCATGTTGAAATGTAATCCCCAATGTTGGAGGGGGAGCCTGGTGGTAGATGTTTGGGTCATGGGGCTGGATCCATTATGGCTTAGTGCTGTCCTTGCAATAGTGAGTGAGTTCTCATGAGATCTGGTTGTTTAAAAGTATATGACACCTTTCCCCTTGCTTCTGTTCTCTCCACATGACATGCTTGTTCCCACTTTGCCTTACTCCATGAATAAAAGTTTCCTGAGGCTTACCCAGACCCCAAGCAGATGTCAGTCTCATGCACTTACAGCCTGCAGAATGAGTCAATCACACCTCTTTCCTTTATAAATTACCCAGTCTGTTATTCCTTTATAGCAATGTAAGAAAGAGCTAACACACACATGATCAAATTTGAACAGATGAGGAGTTGCTTTTTATGGATGAGCAAAGAAAGTGGTTTCTTGAGATAGAATATACTTTTGGTGAAGATTCTGTGAACATTGTTGAATGACAACAAAGGATTTAGAATATTACATAAACTTAGTTCACAAAGCAGCAGCAGGATTTAAGAGGATTGAATCCAATTTTGAAAGTTCTCCTGTGGGTAAAAATGCTATAAAATACCATCATATACTACATAGAAATCTTTCATAAAAGGAAGATTCATTCAATGTGGCCAACATCATTATTGTCTTATTTTCAGAAATTGCCACAGCCACCCCAACCCTGATTAGTCAGCAACCATCAACATTGAGGCAAGACCCACAGCCAATCAAAAGATTAGGACTGGTTGAAGGCTCAGATGATCATTAATATATTTTAGCAATGCGATATTTTTAAAATTAGGTATATACCTTTTTAAGAACATAGTGATATTGAACAAATTAATAGACTATAGTATAATGTAAACATAACTTTTATATACACTGGGAAACAAAAAATTTTTGTGACTTGCCTTATTATGGTGGTCTAGAGATGAACCTACAGTTTCCCCAAGTTATGTCTATATTTTTGTGAGTTTTTATTTCATGACATCCAAAGTTTCTTGGAGGATATTTTTATATATATACACACATATATATGTAAATATATATGTATTTTTTTGAGATGGTTTCATTATGTTGCTCAGGAACTCCTGAGCTCAAACAATCCACTTCTCTTGGCCTCCCAAAGTGCTGGGTTTACAGACATGAGCCACCACATCTGTCCTATTCTATATTTTTATTCAGATGCCAGACAGCAAGGGGATGCATGCCCTTAAGCAAGGAGAAAAAAGAAGGTGCTAAATTATAATTTTGATAATATGAGACTAAAAATATTAAAATAGAATATACTTATACTTATTCCTTGTTTAGAAAATGATTTAAAGCATTTTATAAAGATATATCAAATCAAAGATACAATAAATCTGGAAAATGAAAGGCAAAATAAAAATAGAGTGGGAAAATTTTTAAACAGCTTTAATTATTTAGATTAGTACATATTATGCTTGCCAGAAGTGGGACACAAATGTAATACTAAACTTCCGGCAGCGATTTTTGTGTGTGTGTATGTGTGTGTGTGTGTCAGAGAAAGGGGGAGATATTATATGCCTACATTTTAGAATTTATAAGATAAAAACAAACTATTTTCTAAAGAGAGACAAAATTACCCTTGATAATAAAATTTAAGTTTAACCATAAACCTAGTAACATGTTCTTAATATAGATTGATGTCATGATACCAAAGCACAAAAACACACAGCAGGAGAGAAGAACAAAAGTAATGAGACTCAAGTGTGTGGCTCTCTGATGATCTAGCTTATTTCAAGGATAAATTTTGAATTATCTAAAAGATGAATAAATTGCCTATGCTTCCTGTTATATTACTGGAATAGCAAATTCAATATCTATTAACTCCTTTTCTCTTTACTGGGCTTTTGAAAACTTTCTATTTAGTGACAGAGCTTTTGAAGTTATACTCTTTGACAGGTGGCTGGAATATTTGTATTCTTTATAAAATAAGTGCACAGCTGTGTATTTTTAATAGTCAGCTAAGCTGAAGGCAGGGTAAAAATGGAAGAACTCAAAGAGAGAGGGAGAAAGGGTCTGCATACAATGGTATTCCAAGTACTCCTAGAAGTGAGCAAAAAGAAACCTAACTGGAGCCACATTTATGTGATGGTTGATTTTTGCCTAAATAGATTTCCAAAGGAGATAAAGGGACAGTTATTTTAGTCATAACAAAAACCAAGACAAACACATGACCATGCATGTACACACAAACACATGGACACATAATAAAGGTCCTGGAGCATATTGAGTTTGGAGATATGTAAGTTACTTATATACCTTTTCAAAGAAACTAGTGACAAAAGGTACATGTAAGTAGTTAGTCGAAGTGATTCGAATAATATAATGGAGTGCCTTTTAGTTTTATTTGCTAAATTAAAAAATCCGATTTTAAGATGTTTGCTAAAATAGCTTTGGTCATAATTAATCAACAATTTGGTCAATAATATATCTGCAACACTGTTTTTTGATAATAATTAGATAGAAGAAGCAGCTATATACTACAAATATTCCTAATTCATGATAACTACATTTCCTCTCTACAAATCCATGAAAAATACATATTATATACATAGTAGACAACAAGCTTGTATCAGATCATCCAACATGATATCAAAATATAAGAAACAAATTAAAAAACGTGTGTCAGTCTCCATCTCTTTTTTAGTATAATAGTGAAATAATACTTTTTAAATATTATATTAAAAAACCTCAGTAATGTATATTGCTCTTCAGCTGTCTGCTTATTAAAGTTAAGGTAATCTTTGATTTGGGACAGGGAGATACAGCCAGAGAAAAGGAACAAATTATTTACAAGCAGTTTTGGCTTTCAAATATAATTTTTAATACCTGGAGCAGAAACAAAAGTAGTCTTGAAAGTGACTTTATTTTGCAGAAGCCAGAATTTTGAAAGAATAAATGTTTGTGGTCCTCTAAACTACACAGAGTATAGAAAATTACCTAAGCAAAGTTTCCCGGTATGCAGAAAAGATGATGATCCCATTTTAGGCTACAGGAGATGCACTGGGAGAGAGGAATTAGAGTGGCAGAGATAGGTTTAGAAAGTAGAGGTTTTACAACCCACTCCATCCTGGGACTGCAAATTAGACTTTTCTTGTTTGTTGAAACCCCTAAGAGAGGAGCCCTGCACACTGGAGAATTAACTGCTGGGCTAATGCTGGGGAGGGGAGACATCAGGCATTGGCAAGGGGATTCCATAGCTCAGAAGCCCCCAAATCTGAGCATGGATAAGATATGTGGCTTTGCCTCACAAGGCTGCATCAGAGTCTGAGGAGAACTGAGCTAGAAAGCACATTATATGTGTTTGAGGTGATGGGTTATGCCAGGGATGAGGGATGATCAGCAGCAGGGGTGTTATCATTGTGTATTTGATTGTTCTGAAGGAATAGACCATACATTACATCTATCACAATAATTAAATAGCACATAATATGAGGACAGGTGTTGTCAGTGTAAAGCATTGTATCAGTTATATTCTATCAGAAATTATCTGATTCATGTGGATTTATTTCTCATCAAATTGACATCACAATTTCACTGCAGGTTCAGTATGATCATGTGTAGCCACAGATCTACAGTGAGCTCGTGGAAATTAGGGTCTGATATAGTTTGGATGATTATCCCCTCCAAATCTCATATTGAAATGTGACCCCCAATGTTGAAGGTGAGGCCTGGTGGGAGGTGTTTGGGTCACACAGGCAGATCCCTCATGAATGCTTGGTGCCCTCCCTGTGGGAGTAAGTTAGTGTAATAGTTGATTGCTCCCAAGTCTGGCACTTACTATTGTCTCTCTTGCTCCTTCTCTTGCCGTGTGATACGCTGGCTCCTCCTTTTGCCTTCTGCTATGATTGTAAGTTTCCTGAGGCCTCACCTAAAGCAGATGGCACTATGTTTCTTGTTCAGTCTTCAGAACTATGAGGTAAATTAAAGGAAAATAAAAATGAATTACCCAGTCTCAGATATTACTTTATAGCAACATAAAACGGACTAACAGAGAGTCATAAATGATTTCTGTCTACACTGTCAAAGAACAAAGAAAAGTAAATGAGACCTGCTAACAATCCTGTATTATTCACAGCAGATTTCTTTATAAGGCTATATGTAATATAAGGATAATCTTTAGTGTTCATGTTTAGATATAATGCTTTTTTAAAATTTTACTTAACATAGTTTTGGACTTGGTTTTGAAGCATTTTGTTTCTGGTGAAGTCCCCAAAAGTAATTCTAATAAAAACAAGAATAGACAATAAGACCTAATTAAACTAAGAAGCTTCTGCACAGAAAAAAAAAAAAAAAACAACTATCAACAGAGCAAACAGACAATCTACAGAATAACAGAAGATATTTGTGAACTATGCATCCAACAAAGTCCTAATATCCAGAATCTATAGGGAACTGAAATCAACAAGCAACATACTGAATTTTAATTATGAGATATTTACCAACATTCTTTTGTGCTAAGATTATCAATATCATACTGCTGTTAAAAATCTTTTTTGTATTTAATTTGTAAACATTTCCTAAAAATGTGTAAGTAGTTTAAATGATATATACTCTTCTCATTACAGTTGGCCTTGAACAACTCAGGGGTTAGGGGCACTGGCCTTCTCTTGTCTCCTAGCAGCAGTTAAAAATCTGCCATGTAACTTTTTACTCCCCCAAAACTTAATTACTAATAACCTACTGTCGATCAGATGTCTTCTGATCACACTGTAGATGACACATATTTTGTATGTTACATGTTTTGTATACTATAGTCATACAACAAAGTAAGTTAGACAAAGGAGTTATTAAAACGTTATACAGAAAAAATATATATTTAAATTATCACAATAAAGTCATATATTTTCATGTGAATAATTTTTTTGGGGCGGAAGTATCCCAGAGTGTATTTTCTATTGGAATTATTAATTTACATTTTATTATTCAAGTCTTCTTGGTTTGTAAGATTTTGTTTTTTTGAAAAAGTTTAATCAAAAACAGGGTTTCAATAGGAAGTTGGCAATACCAGCTAGATAATGACAGCTCCCAAAAGAGAGCATTTTGTGTATCAAGCAGATCAACATAGATTAATTATATTCTGAAAACTGAGATAAAT
The DNA here is from genome assembly GCF_000001405.40 of Homo sapiens. Taxonomy (NCBI): domain Eukaryota; kingdom Metazoa; phylum Chordata; class Mammalia; order Primates; family Hominidae; genus Homo; species Homo sapiens. The sequence goes on from NC_000006.12 coordinate 63,022,301, forward strand.
AAAACAGATTAATAAAAGTGAATGCAACATTTTGAAAATCAGAAATTTTATTTTAATGAGTTAGAAGCTTTCATTAACAAAATGTACATTGAATTATTATTTTGAACAATACTGTGCAGAGAATGGAAAAATAGTAAAACTCATTGTTGGTCTACAGATGTTGTATATCATTTTTTAACTGTACACAAAAATTGATGATGCTTCATTGTCTGTAAACCAGCTGTAATATTTTATTAATACATCTGTCAATTCTTTGTAGAAAAAATAGTGAAATCAAAATGTATTTAACCTAAATGCAAATTATAGAAATTGAGTTTATTATAGTTATTTAACGAAAAAATAATAAAGTAAAATATATACCTTTTCTCTATTGATAATACCTGAAAATTTGATGTAAAAATTTCAGGAACAGCACAAGAAAATATAAATTTTCTGCCTGCAATATATTTCTCCTTTTTCACTGCATCAAATCTTTTCTTGTTCTGACCTGAGCATGTTCTTAACTGCCTATACTGCTGTAGAACAAAAAGTGCTGAATCATTCGTTCTAAATTTTTAATATAATTCAGCTAACTGCCAGCTCCTAAAGGCATGAGATATCTAGCTGAAGTGAAGTAATAATAAAAAAATTTTGTGAATAGAATGGCTCATTAAGGAGACACATTAATTACCTGCTGCTTGAAGAAAGAGCAGCTAGCTGGTAGATCCCTTCTCCCATCTACTTCTCATTCCAGATCTGGGATGAATCCTCACATTTCCCAGAAGGCATTTGGTGTTGAAGCCTAAGCCTGGTGGAACTCCTGGTCTTTTCTCTGCTGTCTCTAATGTTCCTTTACCCAGGCTAAGTTCTAGCCTTGATGTTCTCAGCTGCTGGCTCTATCAGCTGATACATTTGTTGGTCTTTGGGCTATCCAATGGGCTCCTTGTGACAGCTTCCTAGTAGCAAGTGTCCTTCAGACATTGGGCCACTGCACACCTTGCCTTAATTTGCCCTAGCGTTCTGCAATTTCCACACTACTTCCTGATTGGCATCATATTGGGCACAGTGATTCTTTAAGGTAGCTTTAAATTTTCTAATCTATGTTACGAGATTACAGAAGCAAACTTCTCTGGTCCAGAATTCTTCTAAACATATTTACCTGTTTCCTGTGTTCCTCTCACTACATCCCAGCTCCAGCTGAGAGTGGGTAGAAAGAGTATGCATCTGAAATCCTGTCATCCCCTCTCTCTTTCTCCTGAGTCTTTGGGAAACCAATGGACAATACATTTCGTCTGGTGATGTCTTTCTTCACATTCTTTGTGTCCCTTAATACAGAAGTAAACTTGTTTAAAAGAAGAAATATATTTCAGGGCATATTTTAAAATATGGTCCTTGTTAAAATATAATTCTATTTTAAATCTGTTTTACAATTTTGTTGTCCTTTCCCCGTAGAAGGTCCTTTATGAAAAGGCCTTATATTTCTTTTCCATTTCTATTTCCTCAGTACCAGCAAAGCTAGGCACACAGTATGTTCTTAGAAACTTCAATAAGTGAATAAAAGAAAATGAAAAAGAAATTATGCAATAGTCTGCAGCCTCTAAAATAGCTTCCATGGATCCCGGCTTTCCTTGCTTGTGGGCTGGGCCTACTGGCAGGCATCCAAGAAACACTGATAGAATCTCATTTCCAAGACTGGATTACAAAAAGACCGAGTTTCTCACCTTCGCTCTCCATCTCTCTGCCCATCTCTTTCTCTCTCTCAACTCTCACTCTGCCATGTCTTGAGTTATCCTATTAAGAAGCATACTGGCAAGCATCTGATGTCTCAGTCCAGTGAAGACTTGATGCCTGTCAACAGCCACATAAGTGAGAATGGAGGTATATCCTCCTCCAATCTAACCTTGAGATATATGTCTTGGTTGGTACCTTGATTTCTGCCTGTGAGAGACTCATGCAGAGGACACAGCAAAAGTGTATTCTGATTCTGACCCACGGATTGTGGTATAGTAAACACTTATTGTTTTAAGCCACTAAATTTTGGAGTAATTTTAATATAGCAACAGATAACTAATACAAATCTGTAGAGCCTTAAGAATGTACAGTTCAAGAAAAAATTACCTTAGGAATTCTTACCTTCTATATAGACCCCATTGCTAATTGTGTTATATATTTTTCCTGATTGAGATTATAAGGTTTTACTCTAAAGAAAGTGCTTATTGGTAATGTGATACATTATCCAATCCTTCTATGCAAATAGTATGCTTGTCTAAATGCTTTGCTGGATACCCTTGATGAGCAGTTGCCTTGTGTGCATGACTGTGATTAAAGGTATTTCAGACATCTTTAGAAAACTGATTAAAAACAGGGAGACTTCTTTGAAAAATATGAGGAACAAATAAACTTTCAAAGGTACATAGCAAAAAATTTATCAATTGAGTGACTGAAGGCAAAAAGCCCATGCCGTAAAAGGCAGGAAATAACTCTGTGGCATGTACCTTCAGGGTATCTCAAAGGACCAGCTGAAGCCTAACTCTGCTGCTTGATTTGTCCTCTGAAAGGAGGCCAGGCAATGGCCATTTCAGTCCAAGAATAACTCATGCCACATCATGTCAGGAAGCTGTCCTCAGAAACCTGTGTGGTTCTTTTTTAAGAAGTTCTCCATCTCTATTAGTGGGGGTTGTGGGAAGAAAGCAGGAAGCTTACATGTTTTCTGTATTGGCTAACACATGCCAAATAATGTACTCTGCTTTAAGAACTTCTTTAATTCATCCCCACTGTGGAGAGGAAAATATAAATGATAGTGGATACAGAGAAAAGTAACTTACTTGTTTGAGAGTTAGAATTAATCTGGAAAGCATTTATAGTTCAGTTTCCAATAACAGTAGTATAGCCGCTATGAATGTTGGCTCTTCATCAGTGGACCAGTAAGGGGACCAGATGAATGGTGCTGATTCTCATCTAATCAGACCTTCAAATAAAAATCTCCAAACAAATTTTGAGACATTATTAACTCACTTTTGGGCTGGAGAATTAAGATGGGAAATGACTGATAATATCTACATGGTGCATCTAGATCCAATCCAAGTAACTGGGATTCAGAATAGTGGTCAATATTTTCCCGTTAGGAGGCTGGACTGATGTCAGGAAACTAAGTCCACCTGTATTATCATAGGACATGATTGTAGAGTTAGGAAGAAAGAGTGGCTGAGAGTGCACAGGCTGCTGGATACTGGCCTTATATGAATCAATTTCGCTATAGTACTCACTTAATAATTTATAACACATTCCTAGGTTTGGTCAAGACCAGCTCGGACTCTGTTGACAGAGGTCCTACAAATATAGGGCCTGGCAACTGGAAAAAAAACTAGAGGAGGGAGACTTAACACCTGACATTTTTTTATTTTATATCTAAAAACTTCAACAACTTTTAAATCCATTTAGACTATCTCCAAAAGTACTTTGAAAATGAGAAATAGGTTGATATTCCCAGAACATCATGACAGCATAAATAAATATTTATTGACATCACCTTAAGCTTTTTATTGCTCAAGGATAGTACCTAACCAAGCCCATAAATACCTGAGGTACTTTTGAGTTAGCTTAGTAAGAACTTAAAAAATTAGATAACTAAATCCAACTCAAGAGTCATTTGAAGACTCTTAATACCCGAGTTGAATTTAGATATCACCAAAACTTTGTTTCTTAATTTTTTTTTCCTGCATCTTTTTCCACTCTGTCATTGCTCCTTGTGTTTTGAAACTGGATTTGCACAAGTCTCTCATATGGAGTGGTCTCTGCCCAAAGACTGAAAGTCACTGCCATCCTGTGCAGTGGTAAGCACTAATGGTTGATGTTTTAAAAAAAAAAAAGTGTTTAATTACACTTGTTAAAGACAGAAAAGTAGATTTATTCTAGAGGGGCTATGATGATAGGTATAGGGGCCACTGTAATAGGGTCTTGTGGTAGGGGAAAGATTGTGCTTGACTCCAAATCCAGTAAAGACAAGTTTGGATTTATAACCAAGGAGCAGGGTGGGAAGTAAGAGCAGACATCAGGAGTAAGGGAGATTCTTGCTTAAAGCTCCTCCTGGGCTTCCTTTACTATCACTGTAGGTTCTGTTTGTTAACTACCATGCTCCTCTTCCATTCTTTTCCTCTTGTGGTTTTAAAATCATCTTGAACAAGTTTGAGAGGCAAATGGCAATAGACGCAGAAATCTCATAAAATTTGAGTGCTGGACTGAGAACCAAAATTCACCATTTACAGTGTTGTTTCTATAAGGGAGGAAATACATTCAAAATTCAAATAATAAAGATACAAATGAATATTTGAAGACAACTAAATTGTCTGAATTAATCTGTCCTTTATTAACTTTAATTATCATCTTTCCAAACTGAAGAATCATGAATGCACTACTAAAATTATATATAAATTTTATTATTAGAGACTTAAAGTCATCACCAAAAGTACTATAGCTGTATGAAAAATAAAAGGTTAATTCTGTTTTCATGTATTTATCAAAATATTTCTTGTACCTATTTTTAATTTTATAAATATAAATCCCATTTATCACTACTTTAAAAATTAACATTTTCTTTTTTGTTGGCCTAAGGCTGAATTTTTACATTCAAAGAGAGAACTCCTAATTCTCTAAAGTAAATATCTACATTTAAACTATTATCTTGAGTATTTTTGTAAACACTTAAAAAACTTTTTTCTTTAGAATACAATTGAAGTGGGTATTTATAATACCCACTGTGTTGAATTTGTATTTATAAATCTCAAAAGATTTACAAGGCACACCATGATTCTTGAATAGCTAATGTTCATTAAAATTGAGGCACTTGCTATTTCTACAGGAACTAGAACTCCTTACAATCAGCCTTACCAAATGGTACTCCTTGCTGTTTAAAATATTAGGCTAGCTGAGAGCTGAGGGAGGATGACACTGTTGCCATTATGTAAACATATTCCATACCACCAAACTTCGAAATTTTTCCTTCTACTCCATGATTTTTAAATGTCTGTTTAATCTATATATTTGAAAAGCAAATTGCTTTCTTTTTTAACTGATTAGGGATCAACTGCATGTGAAAAGTTCAAGGGCTAATTTTGGATAAAGATGATGTCTATATAATTATATTCACTATATAAATAGTGATGGGTTAAATAAAGACTATCTGGAAATATTTTCATTAACTAATCTATAAATAAATAAAAGTCAACTTTCAAAAGCGAGTCTCTAGAATCTGGCAATGGCATGAGGAATGTCAAATATTTAATCATAACGTTAGATTTATATTTTATTTTAGATAAAGAATAAAAAATGATAGAAACTAAATGATAGTTCAATAGCTGATATAGTGTAGTAGTAGGTTTTACAAAGGCACATTGATATTTTACTCAATTACCAGATTAATAAGGATTTTTGATTATCTTCTTACTGGTGTGTGGACATTAACCAATATTAAGTTGTGTATGCAATAATGGCTTGTAATAAAATCAGAGGCACAGATTTTAATTAGTTATTAAATGTTCAATTCTTTAATCAATATTTTATGGTTAAACTGATATTTAAGGATAAAAGCCCCAGGCTTTTAAAATGAATATTATTTTAAAAAATTATATGTATGCATAAGATCTTTAAATTAGAGAACTCAAATTTCTTAATAGTTAATCACGTTTGATTTTATAATATGAAATTTATAGAGTATATAGTAGCCACATCATAAATATTTGTTGAATTAATGGACGATTTTAATATTGATAGTCAATTGTAGTAGTTGCTTTGGAGTGGAATACAATTATTTTCAGAATTGAAGAATTTATAATATTTCTGACCTCTAGATCTCATCTCCCTATTCTCCCCCACCACCAACACTAACACTTTCAAATACAAGCACGTAAACCCTTGCACCTGAACAATGTAAAAGATGCTTTAACAAGACATTCAGCTTATTGAAAACTTGAAAACTGTTGTTTGTCCAACTGATCCCTAAGGAGAGGACATGGGGGAGATATGTACTTGTCACTGAGTTTTCCTTAAATTTGGAGGAGGTGGTAGACAGGTATGAAAACAGTGAAGGATTTTCAAATGTATAGTAAGGCTCTTTCAGGAGAGCAACTAAGTTGTGTACAAGAGAGGCAAATCAAATTAAGCTGATTTGAGTTGTTTTGTGGAGGAGTCTTGAAAAATGTTGGTGAGGTAAGTAACTTAGTATTTTTAAATTTTATTTTACTATAAGGAAAGAAAAAATAAAAAATCTTCCAAAAGAAAATAAGCAATGTGTTTCAACTTAGTTGAGGCAGGAGTTGAATGCATTGTTGAATCTCTAGTGCCTAACAGCACCTGACACAAGGAGAGCTCAATACTGGTGACTTGAGGTAAGCTGGTAACACAGAGGAGTATTGCATAATGGGTAAAAGCACAGATTCAGGATCCTCACTGCCTTGGTTTAAATTTAGTTCAACCACTTAGTAGCTATGTGATCTTAGGCAATTTCCCCATTTATAGAAAGGAAATAATAATATTGTCAAGATTAAATGAGTAAATATATGTAAGGTGTTTAAACCTGTGCTGGCACATTAAGTGCTATGTTAAGTTTTGTATGTCAATTTTTCTCTTCTGCAAATTAAAGACTGTTTCTATAAGACTGTAAAGGAACTTGACAAATAAATAGTAGGAGATCTTTTTTTCTTGGAGGATTTGTTTAAATGCTGATTGAAATTGGAGTTATCACTCTGATGGTAGTTTCTTTTGCTGTGCAGAAGCTCTTTAGTTTAATTAGATCCCATTTGTCAATTTTGGCTTCTGTTGCCATTGCTTTTGGTGTTTTAGACATGAAGTCCTTGCCCATACCTATGTCCTGAATGGTATTGCCTAGGTTTTCTTCTAGGATTTTTATGGTTTTAGGTCTAACGTTTAAGTCTTTAATCCATCTGTTAATTTTTGTATAAAGTGTAAGGAAGGGATCCAGTTTCAGCTTTCTACATATGGCTAGCCAGTTCTCCCAGCACCATTTATTAAATAGGGAATCCTTTCCCCATTGCTTGTTTTTGTCAGGTTTGTCAAAGATCAGATAGTTGTAGACATGTGGCATTACTTCTGAGGGCTCTGTTCTATGCCATTGGTCTATATCTCTGTTTTGGTAGCAGTACCATGCTGTTTCGGTTACTGTAGCCTTGTAGTATAGTTTGAAGTCAGGTAGCATGATGCCTCCAGCTTTGTTCTTTTGGCTTAGGATTGACTTGGCAATGCGGGCTCTTTTTTGGTTCCATACGAACTTTAAAGTAGTTTTTTCCAATTCTGTGAAGAAAGTCATTGGTAGCTTAATGGGGATGGCATTGAATCTATAAATTACCTTGGGCAGTATGGCCGTTTTCACGATATTGATTCTTCCTACATGTACCCTAAAACTTAAAGTAAAATAATAATAAAATTAAAAAAAAAGAAATTGGAGTTATCAAAAGAGCTTAGTGATAAAATATGGGACCTAATTCAGAGAAAAATACAGTAAATTATTCAGAAAACTCCTTGTGCAAGAGGCCAAAAAGATCATGTGCCATTGACTTAAGGTACCCTTATCAGATATTATAGTTCTATATAGAACTATCTATGAATATATATGTGTGTATACACATGTATAGGTTGTTAAATGTTGTTCAAGTATGTCATTAATTCTAATTTTTAGTCACAAAATTTTATAAATGTAAAAACAAAGAGATTATTTAGCCAGATTAGTTCATTTTCCATGTAAGAAAATGGTCAGTGAAGGTAGCCAATACTTCAAGGACACAGTCAAGAATCTGAGTAAGCCCTGCGTCTTAGGACAATGCACTTTTTATTAAAACATGCTGCCACTCAATCACAGAACTTTTTTCTTAGCTAACATGTAGTGCTCTCAGAGGAAAATAGAACTTGTAAATATTATTTGTTTTAAGCCCCATAAATCTTCCTTTCTAATGTCTTAAAAAATAATAATGTTGTTAGTTATATAAAAATTATAAATGTCTTATACAGTATTCAAGCAATATAGAAAAGTACCAAAGAAGTTTATTCGATCAACTGAAATCCTATAATCCAAAATAGTAATCATTAATAGAAAATTAATATCCCATTTATCAATTCTGGCTTTTGTTGCACTTGCTTTTGGCATTTTTGTCATGCAGTCTTTGCCCATGCCTATGTCCTGAATGGTATTGCCTAGGTTTTCTTATAGGGTTTTTATGGTTTGGGGTTTTACATTCAAGTTTTTAATCCATCTTGAGTTAATTTTTATATAAGGTGTAAGGAAGGGGTCCAGTTTCAATTTTCTGCATATGGCTGGACAGTTTTCCTAGCACCATTTACTGGATAGGAGATCCTTTCCCCATTGCTTTTTTTTTTGTCAGGTTTGTCAAAGATCAGATGGTTGTAGATGTGTGGTATTATTTCTGAGGTCTCTGTTCTGCTCCATTGGTCTATGTATGTTTTGGTACCAATACCATGCTGTTTTGGTTACTGTGGCCTTGTAGTATCCTTCCAGACACCTTTCTGAAGATAAATACAGATACAAAACCAGATAACAAGATACATAGCCACTGTTTTATATAAATGCTATAGTATTTCTATATATTAGTATATAGTTAATATATATTTTAAAATTAAGTTGTTAAATATATTTAAACTTCATTTGCATTTAATTTGAAAAATCAACTAATTTAAAATGAAGGGAATTGTTGAAATATAGCCTATCTTCTCAAAACTTGATGTCTTAATTTTGATTCATGTCTTGCTTGACTGAAATTTGTTATTACATTATTGGAGACTCTTGCTTGCAAACATAGAAATTGAATTGACTGGGTAACATGAGAGAATGAATTTATTTTAAAAGTATTGAGTAATTCAGAGAATTTACAGAATGATTGGAGAACTCGGCTCAGGCAGGAGTCAAGGGTGGCCAGGCATTGACAAGATGCTGCTGTGTGATCAGCCTCCTCCGTAGTTAGCTGGGAAGATACTTGCCACTGCTTGGATCATTGACATGATTGATACACATTGAAATGATAATGTACTTTGATGCCCCTGCAAATTCATTTCCATGCTTCTGGAAAGTTATTTCCATGTAACAATATACCTCTTCTTCTACTCCAAAGTCCATGAAAATACCTAAATGTCCCTATTACATACATCACATTCAGTAGTCTTAGTTGTGGATGGGAGAATTTGGCTATGCTTCTTGCACATGTCCATGGTCCAGCTGTCAGCGGATGGGTAAAGGAAACATTTAATACTGTCTATTTTCTGCAGATAAGACAAATCCCATCTTTCTAGGATTTCTTTAAAATAGGAAGTTGGTTCAGGTGCAAGACTTACAGATTGACAATTATCTACCAAAATAGTAAATTGCTTTTTTTGAGCATTCAAAATTTTAGTATTTTCTTTTTTGAATGGTGATTACTCTTTGTTACATTAAACTCTTATTGTACTTTGACTTGGCTATTTGTTAACTTCTTGATTTATACACGCCCTTCAGATTTTGAAGATATTATACCATTATCATCTGTCATCAGCATGATACTAGTTCTTTTATTATAGCTTCTCTATTCAAGGTGACTTGTTTTTCTCGCTAAGTATTCCTTATCCTTGAACATCATAACAGAATGAGAAAATGTATTTCCTGGGGCATGATTAACAATATTTTTTCTAGAGCACGATATATCCTTTCAATCTGCAGATTTTATTTTTCCCCTTTCATTTGGGTAAATATTCTCTACTGGAGGTATGCAAAGTCTTTGTTGAAGGACCCTGTTTTTGGTTTTGTTTTGTTTTTTTTTTTTTTTTGAGATGGAGTTTCCCTCTTGTTGCCCAGAATGAAGTGCAATAATGCGATCTCGGCTCACTGCAACCTCTGCCTTCCAGGTTCCAGCAATTCTCCTGCCTCAGCCTTCTGGGTAGCTGGGATTACAGGCATGTGCCACCACGCCTGGCTAGTTTTGTATTTTTAGTAGAGACAGGGTTTCTCCATGTTGGTCAGGCTGGTCTCGAACTCCCGACCTCTGGTGATCCACCCGCCTTGACCTCCCAAAGTGCTGGGATTACAGGCATGAGCCACCGTGCCTGGCGGACACTTTTTAAATGAAATTTAAATTTCATTTAAATAGTAAAATATCCTATATCAGAGTTCAATATACCAAATTGGACATTTACCTTAGACTCATACTTTCCAAATTAACTTATCCTCAAAGTTCATCATGAAAAATGACAAGTCATGGTGATTTTTTCTTTTCTCTGTAGAGTTCTAGATATTTTGTCAAAGCTAGGTTAAGGTATATACTTTAGCGATTTTCCACTTGATTTTTCCCACTCTAGACTCACTTTCTTCTGTTTCTTTTCTCCCATTTTTGGATATATTATAGAACAGTATCAGAATGTTGCCTTCTTGTAGTTCAGTTCCTGGGAGGTATGGGTAGGTCGAAAAGCCTATACCTTCTGGGATTTTTATCTTCTATTTTTTTTTTAAATTAGGTCAAGAAGTTTTTATCTCTTTTGGTATCCGGTTTTTGAAGATAAAATTTGAACAGTTTTGCCTCTTACTCTTTCAATTCCATGAAGTGATTGAGAAAGAATATTTGTAATTTCTCTTTACAGTGCTATTTTTTACTAAGAAAGTAGATCTTCTCAAGAATTTTGTATGTGCATTCACTTTGTTATTATAATTGTAAGTTAATTTTGCTTTACATTCAAATGGTTTCAGTGTTCATAGTCAGATCTTGATGTAGTTAACAATCAAGCCTTGAGCTTTCCATTATTTGTTAAAATGATTATGAGTATGAAGTATGTACTTAAGTATTGAAATTTTCTTTGGGGAGGGTATACAATAATTTTTTTTTGTAAATAAACCTGATGTCATTCTTTGCTTTCTATCATAAATAAGAATCCTTGTAGATTACATATTGTACATTAGGCCTGCTCTGAACTGTCGGAAGACAGATATATCTTTAAGAGTGCTTCTTCAATTCGTAGAAGGTTTTTCATCTTTGTTCATGCACTTGTTCAAAGTTTCCTTTAAACACAGTGTATTTAAATGATTTTAAAAAGAGATTTGCTTTTCTTTCTATACTCTGAAAAATCCTTGTTCTCTATTTTGTACTCCAACAAATGATCTATTAGCTTGGAACTTCAGTTCTCTATAAAAACATTAACCTGCATTTCACTAACCTACAAGTGCTGTTTATACTTCCAATAAATAGTTTTATGTTAACAATATGTTATCTAGATTATCGTAATGAAGGTTGTAATGATGTAGGACATTTTAAAGAAATTTTAGATACTCCTTTAGTATATAAATTAACTGTATTAGAAAGTTTAAATTCTTACTTATTTGAAAACTAAATTATATTTATTGTGATGGCTTTCTTGACGTGTCAGCTCAGCTGGTCTACAACCCCCAGTGATTCAATCAAACACAAATCTAAAGGTGTGTCTAATGGGATTTTGCAGACATACTTAAAATTCTTGATCAGTTGACTTTAAGTAAGGGATATATAAGAGCAAATATTCTGGTTAGTCTTCTTGGGTCTAACTTAATCAGTTGGAGGCCATAAAAATAGAGAATTCAGAGAGAAAGAGACTGACTGACCGACCAGCCAACCTTTGTTGTCTGTGGACAACAGGTTTGGTCTATTCTTGAGGAGCTTGAGCTAGTGGGGTTCTGGACCCCCTACCTGCTCCCTCCAAATAGTTCTTCATTTATTTAATTTACATATAGAGCTTCTATGTATGATTTAGTTTGAAAAAACACTAATTTAACACGTATTCATTCTCTCTCTGTCTATACATGTATATAGACATGAAATACATATATTTTTCATGTCTATATATATAGAGACATGGCATAAAATACACATTGATGATGATTGTAGAAAAGAAAAACCTCTGCCCTAAGAGGCTCGAATTCTGAAGACGTATTTGGCAAATACATTACTAAACTTGTTGGGTTACAGGGGTATAATTAAGGAACAAAAGGAATACAGATAGAAAAATAGGTAGGACTTAGATTGTGAAGAGTCTGGAGTTCCAGATTGCAGTACCTGAAATATTACCCTAACAATGAGGTGAAGACAAGGAGAACAATTGAAAGTAAATGCAGCCTTGTAAAGGGGAAATGATCAGTAAATAAAATGGGTCAAGTGGCATATTAGCTTTCTTCCGTAGCTGTAATGAATTTTCATAAACTCAGTAGCTTAAAGCAAAACAAATCTATTGTCCTATAGCTCTGTAGGTCAGGAGTCTGACATTAGTCTCACTGGGCTAAAGTCAAAACAGAGCTTTCTGCCTCTCTGGAGGCCCTGGGGAAGAATGTTTCCTTGTCTTTTCTAGCTTCTAGAGGCCCACTAGGAACAAGATTCCATCCCTCCACACAGGGCATTATCTGGTCCATATATTTGGGCTCTCTGTAATTTCCAAACAGGTTCCCATGGGTGCCCACACCTCAGCATCATGGAAGACCCAGGGCAAGAAATAAGAATCAAGAAGTGCACTTCTAATGCAAGGCACTGTCAACTTGCATCTGTGTGAAGCTAATAGATGCCTGAGTGAAATAGGTTGCTATGGTAGTGGCTAGATTAATAGGGCAAGAGGATTTAATTTTGAAGTAATTTCTAAAAGATGTGCAATACTCTCCTTATATGTCACCTTTCATGTCTGTTTGTGCCCTTCGTTAGGTCCAGACTATCACATACAGTCTTATTCCAGCGGGTAGCCAGCAACGATATTCATTAATACTGAATGAAAGAAGGCTAATAAACCAAACTACAGTCCTTATTGCTGTAGCTGGTCCTCAGGCTGTTAAGTGCTTTTAATCACCTGCCTCTTCTGTCACTGATTCTGGATATTCTTTGCCTTCCAACATAGCATTTGAACAAATAAGTGTTGCTGTTCTGCTGTGGCACCTGGACCCTCATCCTTAAATGTCCTGAGCTCTTAGTTGAGTCACTCTTTTTTGTGTCATGATTTATTTTTTTCTTTTGAGACGGAGTCTTGCTCTGTGGCCAGGCTACAGTGCAGTGGCACAATCTCAGCTCATTGCAATCTCCAGCTCCCTGGTTCAAGCAATTTTCCTGCTTCAGCCTCCTGAGTAATGGGATTACAGGCACGCACCACCACACCCAGCTAATTTTTGTACTTTTAGTGGAGTTGGGTTTTCACCATGTTGGCCAGGATGTTCTTGATCTCCTGACCTTGTGATCTGCCTGCCTCAGCCTCCCAAAGAACTGGGATTACAAGCATGAGCCACCATGCCTGGCCTGTGTCGTGACTTTTTAAATAGCTCTTTAACCATTATCTCTGGGCATAGAAAGATCAACAGTCATTCTGATGAAGCTCCTGGCTGCCATATACACTCCACTCATCTCTCATTTTTAGCAGCAACTGTATGTCCTTGTGGTCATCAGTTAAATAGTTCCTTTCTTTGCCTGTTAATCTAGGCAGGGATCCAGTTGATCTAAAATCTGAGAACCAGGACAAAGTCAGGTAGAATAAAAGTTTGCAAGGACAGAAAAATAAATTCAGCAAGATGAGTCACAGGAAGTGATGGTGAGAAGTCCCAATGCCATTTCTTCCCCTTGGTTCTGGACCCATGAATTCTAGCTACTTGCAACACAACACTATGTATCAGTAGTTGGTTGAGTGTAATCACTCATCATGGAGGGTTATATGGTGTGTTATATCATTTATTGCATTAGTTTATTGCATTAGTTAAGAAGTCGTCCTATAGGCCAATCTAGAAAACATAGAAGATGAATGCTTCTGATCTCATGTAATAATGAGCCTAATTTTTTAGAATCTATTTGAGCCTTCTGTTTTCTTCAATATTAGGCAAATCAGTTTTAGTATCATCACATTACTTATTGTAGGTTATATCTCAAGAAGCCATTGAATCCTTGTATTAGTCTGCTTGAGCTGCTATAACAAATACCACAGACTGGGTGGCTTAAACAATGCAAATTCTCACTGGGTCCCCTCATGGCCTTCCTCAGTGCACATGTGAGGAGATATGGTGTCTCTTCCTCTTATAAGGACAGGAGTTCTATTAGATTAGGGCCCCATCATTATGACCCAATTAACTTTAATTACTTAAGACTCATCTCCAAATATAGTCACATTGGGGTTTAAGATATGAATTTGTGGGGAACACAATTCAATCAATTACAAGTCTATTAGGACTAGATTTAGTTGTCCTTCCCAGAACATCGAGTTGCAGGTCAAGGATAAGTGCCTAAATGTCAATAAATTCTCTTCCCTCTAGCACTTAATATATTACCAATACCTCCTCCCAAATCAATGCCTAAAATATTCGCTCTTGCCTTGCTCTCCCAGTAAGTATATCTTGATAAGAGAAGACAGGATATGAATAAAATAGTGTCAAAGAATTGAACCAATTTCCACCTTGAAAGCAATAAAACAACAAAAATTTACAGGACTATATATGTTTGGAGTGGCTTCAGGATGATCAACAAAGTCTACCAATGATTTTGAGCTGTCATGAAAATTGGCATTAAATACAACTAAGTCCAAGAACATTTAAATGAGAAATGAAAACAAAAACCTGAAAGACATAACAATTGAATTTATTAATAAATTACTCTTTTAACTTAAAAAAGTAAAATACTTGCTTATTGAAACAAATTGACCAAATATAGAGCTACATGAGGACAACTAATAGTTTCTCCTCACATACCCCTTCCAATCTACATTTATAAGTAAATATATTAACAATTTTATGTATATCATATTCTGCCTTTCACTTAACCCACGGAATGTGTGTATGTATACATATATATTTACATATATTTGTATGTAATGGTGGGATATTTACTGAATTGGGGGATATCTATTCACATACCTCTTTACTTTTTAACAAAATAAAAGCAATGCACAGTGATTTGTATTTTACATATTTTGCCAAGTTACTACCCTTGGATATAGTTTATGATTTAAACAAATCAGTATATTGAGAGATATTTGAACTCCCACGTTTGTTGCAGCACTGTTTGCAATAGCCAAAATTTGGAAGCAACCTAAGTATCCATCAGTAGATGAATGAATAATGAAAATGTGGTACTTATACATAGTGGAGTACTATTCAGACATACAAAAAATTAGATCCTGTCATTTGCAACAACACGAATAGAACTGGAGGTCATTATGCTAAGTGAAATAAGGCAGGCACAGAAAGACAAATATTACAAGTTCTCACTTACTTGTGGGATCTAAAAATTAAAGCAAATAAACTAATAGAGATAAAGAGTAGAACGATGATTACCAGAGGCTGGGAAAAGTAGTGGTAGGGTAGAGGGGGAGAAGTGAGTTTGGATAATGGGTACAAAAAAAAAGAAAGAATGAATAAGACCTAGTATTTGAGAGCACAACAGGGTGATGATAGTCATTAATAAGTTAATTGTACATTTTAAAATAATCAAAAGAGTATAACTGGATTGTTTGTAACACAAAGGATAGATGCTTGAGCAGATGAGTACCACATTTTACATGATGTGATTACTACGCATTGTGTGCCTATATCAAAGTATCTCATGTACCACATAAATATATACACCTACTATGAACCATTAAAAATTACAATTAAAAATTAAAAAGAAATGATTCCATGATATCCCATCCTTTGATGTATCAGATAACTTTCAGATTGTTATTTTTAAAATAATAAATCATATATTCACTGAACTTCTTTGTACACGTATTCTAATATACTGAAGCTTTTATTTCTGAAAAACATATTTCTAAAAGTGGGATTGCTAGGTCAAAAGAAATGCATATTTTAAATTTTAATAGGTATGTCAAATCATTTTTTAAAAAGGTTATTGTAATTCACACTTCTCTCTTGATAACAATAAATAATAATTATAATAGCAATAATAAATAAAATTAATAACTAAAGTAATAATTCAAGATAAAATTATATATTTCTACACATTTCTAACAGATATATGCACAATCTATCAGTATTAGTTCACAGAAAAATAATTATTGCTAATTAAAAATTACTATTTAAAAAGTAATTAATGATAAATTATTTTTTGTCCAATCTCGAAATTTGTTAATGCTTTGGTTTCAGAGCCAAAAAAAGAAGAGCGTATCTTGTTAAAAGACCTAATATTTCTATGTAAAGATAATTTTAAAAGGCAGCAAAACTAGCACATTACTCATCAGAGGCTGCTGTTTTTATGAGTTAATGTTAGTAAGTAAAATTTTTAAACATCATAATAAATAGCTATGGTAATTTTTTGGTAAGTATTTGCATAAAAATTGGTGGGTCTATGTAATAGCAAAGTGTTTAGTACAAGTATTTAAAATTGTAATATATATCTCATTTTTTAACTATTTGTACCAGATAGTTGTTTGTACCAAATACAGATTATATAGATTATGCTTATTGAAAATTATGGCTCAAAACATGAAGTATTCTATTCATTTTTTTCTGTATATATTTTTGTACATTTTAAACCATTTTGCTTTATTACAAAACATACTACACACACAGGTTCATGTTAAATTATATTTAACAGTTTCATAATAATTTAAGATAATTGGACTTAAAACTGTAACATATGAAATCAGCTATTTGCAAAAACAGCAACTAACATCCCCATGCTAATACACAGTTCATTGCCATGAGAAAAACCCTTCCTAAATGAAATTAGAATAAAAAACACATTGCTGAAATGTAGTCAAGGAACTTATGAATAAACTTTAGAAGGCATTAATACAATACTACTGATATACAAGAAAGACAATCTAATCTACCTTGTTTTAGCATTTTGGAAGATAAATAACAATATGCTGAGTGAAGGCAGAAATTCTATATAGAGTCCACCAAAAGGATAATAAAACAGCAAGAACACACAAGAGTAGTTTCAGGGCTATCCAAGGAGAGGGACGTATATCTCTTGTGGCTACCTCAGACCATTGCAATCTTTTAACCCTATTATGATCATCTTCCTGGTTGCTCTTGCTCATGAAGCAATATTCTGATGATATTGCTCCACATAAAGCTTTATTGCTAAAGTGAAGATATACTGACCAGCTGATAAGAATATTCTTGAGCATTAGAAGTTCTATTTCATTTGAATTAATGCATTAGCAATCTGTTTTATAGATGAGTCTTTTGTGAGCTTGATTCATGTGAGTTTATCACTGAGCCTGATACATTCTGAGTGTCCTGGCAAAATCAAATTTTGTTTTTTTATCTTATTCTTTCTTTTTCGTTATTGTACTTTAAGTTCTGTGATACATGTGCAGAATGAGCAGGTTTGTTACATAGGTATACACGTGCCATGGTGGTTTGCTGCACCCATCAACCCATCATCTACATTAGGTATTTCTCCTAATGCTATCCCTCTCATAACCCCTGACCCCCCGACAGGCCTCAGTGTGTGATGCTCCCCTCCCTGTGTCCATGTATTCTCTTTGTTCAACTCCCACTTATGAGTGAGAACATGCGGTGTTTGGTTTTCTGTTCTTGTATCAGTTTGCTGAGAATGATGGTTTCCAGCTTCATCCATGTCCCTGCAAAGGACATGAACTCATCCTTTTTTATAGCTGCATGGTATTCCATGGTGCATGTGTGCCACATTTTCTTTATCCAGTCTATCACTGATGGGCATTGGGGTTGGTTCTGAGTCTTTGCTATTGTGAACAGTGCTGTAATAAATATACGTGTGCATGTTTCTTTATAGTAGAATGATTTATAATCCTTTGGGTTATCTCCAGTAATGGGATTGCTGGATCAAATGGTAGTTCTGGCTCTAGATCCTTGAGGATCACCACACTGTCTTCCACAATGGTTGAATTAATTTACACTCCCACCAACAGTGTAAAAGCATTTCTATTTCTTCACATCCTCTCCAGCATCTGTTGTTTCCTGACATTTTATTGATCTCCATTCTACTGGTGTGAGATGATATCTCATTTTGGTTTTGATTTGCATTTGTCTAATGACCAGTGATGATGACCTTTTTTTCATGTTTTTGGCTGCATAAATGTCTTCTTTTAAGAAGTGTCTGTTCATATCCTTTGCCCACTTTTTGATGGGGTTGTTTTCTCATAAATTTGTTTAAGTTATTTGTAGATTGTGGATATTAGACCTTTGTCAGATGGGTAGGTTGCAAAAATTGTCTTCCATTCTATAGGTTGCCTGTTCACTCTGATGGTAGTTTCTTTTGCCATGCAGAAGCTCTTTAGTTTAATTAGATCCCATTTGTTAATTTTGTCTTTTGTTGCCACTGCTTTTGGTGATTTAGTCATGAATTCATTGCCCATGCCTATGTCCTGGATGGCATTGCCTAGGTTTTCTTCTATGGCTTTTGTGGTTTTAGGTCTAAAATTTAAGTCTTTAATCCATCTTGAATTAATTTTTATGTAAAGTGTAAGGAAGGGATCCAGTTTCAGCTTTCTACATATGGCTAGCCAGTTTTCCCAGCACCATTTATTAAATAGGGAATCCTTTCCCCATTTCTTGTTTTTGTCAGGTTTGTCAAAGATCAGATGTTTGTAGATGTGTGATGTTATTTCTGAGGCCTCTGTTCTATTCCATTGGTCTATATATCTGTTTTTGAACCAGGACCATGCTGTTTTGATTACTGTAGCCTTGCAGTATAGTTTGAAGTCAGGTAGCATGATGCCTACAGCTTTGTTCTTTTGGCTTAGGATTGTCTTTGCTATACAGGTTCTCTTTTGGTTCTATATGAAATTTAAAGTAGAGTTTTCTAATTCTGTGAAGAAAGTCAATGGTAGCTTGATGGGGATATCATTGAATCTATAAATTATTTTGGGCAGGGTGGCCATTTTCACAATATTGATTCTTTCTATCCATGAGCATGGAATGTTTTTCCATTTGTTTGTGTCCTCTCTTATTTCTTTGAGCAGTGGTTTGTAGTTCCCCTAGAAGAGGTCCTTCACATCCCTTTAAGTTGGATTCCTAGGTATTTTATTCTCTTTGTAGCAATTGTGAATGGGAGTTCAATCATGATTTGGCTCTCTGTTTCTCTGCTACTGGTATATAGGAATGCTTGTGATTTTTGCACATTGATTTTCTATCCTGAGAATTTGCTGAAGTTGCTTATCAGCTTAAGGAGATTTTGAGCTGAGACAATGGGGTTTTCTACATATACAATCATGTCATCTGCAAACAGGGACAATTTGACTTCCTCTTTTCCTAATTGAATACCCTTTATTTCTTTCTCTTGCCTGATTGCCCTGGTCAAAATTTCCAATACTATGTTGAATAGAAGTTGTGAGAGAGGGCATCCTTGTCTTGTGCCAGTTTTCAAAGGGAATGCTTCCAGTTTTTGCCCATTCAGTATGATATTGGCTGTGGGTTTGTCATAAGTAGCTCTAATTATTTTAAGATCTGTTCCATCAATACCTAGTTTATTGAGAGTTTTTAGTGTGAAGGGGTGTTGAATTTTATCGAAGGTCATTTCTGCATCTACTGAGATAATCATGTGATTTTTGTCATTGCTTCTGTTTATGTGACCAATTATGTTTATTGATTTGCATATGTTGAACCAGCCTTGCATCTCAGGGATGAAGCCAACGTGATCATGGTGGATAAGCTTTTTGATATTCTGCTGGATTTGGTTTGCCAGTATTTTATTGAGGATTTTTACATAGATGTTCATCAGGTATATTGGTCTGAAATTTTCTTTTTTTGTTGTGTCTCTGCCAGGTTTTGGTATCAGGATGATGCTGGCCTCATAAAATGAGTTAGAGAGGAGTCCCTCATTTTACACTCTTTGGATAGTTTCAGAAAGAATGGTACCAGCTCCTCTTTGTACCTCCGGTAGAATTTGGCTGTGAATCCATCTGGTCCTGGGCTTTTCTTGGTTGGTAGGCTATTAATTACTGCCTCAATTTCAGAACTTGCTATTGATCTATTCAGGGATTCAACAGCTTCCTGGTTTAGTCTTGGTAGGGTGTATGTATCCAGAAATTTATCCATTTCTTCTAGATTTTCTAGTTTATTTGCTTAGAGGTGTTTATAGTATTCCCTGATGGTAGTTTGTATTTCTGTGGGGTCAGTGGTGATCTCCCCTTTATCATTTTTTATTGTGTCTGTTTGATTCTTCTCTCTTTTCTTCTTTATTAGTCTGGCTAGTGGTTTATCTATTTTGTTAATCTTTTCAATAAGCTAGCTTCTGGGCTCAATGATTTTTTTAAGGGTTTTTTTGTGTCTCTATCTCCTTCAGTTCCGCTCTGATCTTAGTTATTTCTTATCTTCTGCTAGCTTTTGAATTTGTTCGCTCTTGCTTCTCTAGTTCTTTTAATTGTGATGTTAGGGGGTCAATTTTGGATCTTTCTGTCTTTCTCCTGTGAACATTTAGTGCTATAAATTTCCCTCTAAAAACTGCATTAAATGTGTTCCAGAGATTCTGGTATGTTGTCTCTTTGTTCTCATTGCTTTCAAGGAACTTATCCATTTCAGCCTTAATTTCGTTATTTACCGTAGTCATTCAGGAGCAGGTTGTTCAGTTTCCATGTAGTTGTGCAGTTTTGAGTGAATTTATTAATCCTGAGTTCTAATTTGATTGCACTATGTTCTGAGAGACTGTTAGTTATGATTTCCATTCTTTTGCATTTTCTGAGGAGTGTTTTACTTCCAATTATGTGGTCAATTTTAGAATAAGTGTGATGTGTTGCTGAGAAGAATGTATAATCTGTTGATTTGGGGTGGAGAGTTCTGTAGATATCTATTAGGTCTGCTTGGTCCACATCTGAGTTCAATTTCTGAATATCCTTGTTAATTTTCTATCTCATTGATCTGTCTGATATTGACAGTGGGGTGTTAAAGTCTCCCACTATTATTGTATGGGAGTCTAAGTCTCCTTGTAGGTCTCTAAGATCTTGCTTTATGAATCTGGCGCTCCTGTATTGGGTGCGTATATATTTAGGATAGTTAGCTCTTCTTGTTGCATTAATCCCTTGACCATTATGTAATGCCTTTCTTTGTCATTTTTTATCTTTGTTGGTTTAAAGTCTGTTTTATTAGAGACTAGGATTGCAACCCCTGCTTTTATTTTATTTTATTTTATTTTATTTGCTTTCCATTTGCTTGGTAAATATTCCTCCATCCCTTTATTTTGAGATGGGCCTTCTGAATACAGCACACCGATGGGTCTTGACTCTTTATCTAATATGCCAGTCTGTGTCTTTTAATTGGGTCATTTAGCCCATTTAGATTTGAGGTTAATATTGTTATGTGTGAATTTGATCCTGTCATTATGATGCTAGCTGGTTATTTTGCCTACTAGTTGATGCAGTTTCCTCAGAGTGTCGATGGTCTTTGCAATTTGGTATGTTTTGCAGTGTCCAGTACCAGTTTGCCTGATTTTAAAGATTTTATGTTATAGATTTGATTGGAGAACAACAGTAAAAATGCTGTTAAACAAAATAGTACACTTAATTCATTTATGTAACAGAGTATTCTGTAAAAAGTTGCAATACTAAAAGTTAAAGTTATGCATGCTTGTTTATTTTTGTATCCTTTTTTAATGTTTATTTTAAGTTTAGAATACATGTGCAGGATGTGCAGGTTTGTCACATAGGTAAATGGTGTCATGGGCTTTTTTTTTGTACAGATTATTTCATCACCCAGACATTAAGCTCAGTACCCATTAGTTATTTTTCCTAATTCTCTCCCTCCTCCCATCTTGCATCCTCCCATAAGCCCCAGTGTGTGTTGTTTTCCTCCATGTGTTCGTGTGTTCTCATCGTTTAGCTCCCATTTATAAGTGAGAACATGTGGTATTTGGTTTGCTGTTCCTGCATTACTTTGCTAAGGATAATGGCCACCAGCTCAATCCATGTCCCTGTAAAAGACATGATACCATTCTTTTTATGTCTGCATAGTATTCCATGGTGTACATGTACCATATTTTCTTTATTCTTGCTTTTATTGGTGGGCATGTAAGTTGATTCCATATCTTTGCTATTGTGAATAGTGCTGCAGTGAACATATGCATGCATGTGTGTTTATGATAGAATGATTTATATTCCTTTTGATATATACCCAGTAATGGGATTGTTGGGTTGAATGGTATTTCTGTCTAGATCTTTGAGGAATCACTAGACTGTATTCTACAATGGTTGAGCTAATTTACACTCCCACCAACAGTGTATAAGTGTTCCTTTTTTCTCTACAACCTCACCAGCATCTATTTTTTTATTTTCATAGTAGCCATTCTGACTGGTGTGAGACGATATCTCATTGTACCATTGATTTGCATTTCTCTAACAATAAGTGATATTGAGCTTTCCTTCATATGGTTGTTGGCCTTCATATGAATGTTGCTCCCTTCTGGGAGGAAAAACATTTTCTTTGCTCTTATTTTAAAAATCATTTATTTCAATGTTACTATATCCTGAACAAAGTGATGTACATGCTGGTTGCAATGGCTCACACCTGTAATTCCAGCACTTTGATAGGCCGAACCAGGTGGATCATCTTAGGTCAGGAGTTTGAGACCAGCCTGGGCAGCATGGTGAAACCCCGTATCTACTGAAATTACAAAAATTAGCCTGACATGGTGGCTTTCACCTGTGGTCCCAGCTACTTGAGAGGCTGAGGCACGAGAATTGCTTGGACCTGGAGTTGGAGGTTGCAGTGAGCCAAGATGTGCCACTGCATTCCAGCCTGGGTGACAGAGTGAGACTCTATCTCAAAAAAATAAAAGTAAAAAATAAAATAAAGTGGATGTATAACAAATTAGATTTACAGCCACAGTCGGAGTACAGTTGGCCTCTTGTATCAATCCGTGAATTCAACCAACCACAGTCCAAATATTACTATATTCAAATATTTGAGAAAAAGATGCATCTGTATTGAACATGTACAGGCTTTTCTTTCTTGTCGTATTCCCTAAACAATACAGTATAAAAATATTTACATAGTACTGACATCATATTAGGTGTTATAAGTAATCTAGAGATTATTTAAAGTATATAGGAGTATATGCTTAGGTTATAAGAAAATATTATGCCATTTTCTATCTCAGACTTGTGCATTCATGGATTTGGGCATCCAAGGGAGGTCTTGGAATCAATTTCTCCCCTGGATACCGAGGGACTACTCTATTTACTTATATTGACATTTATACCCACATCAAAGAGCAACACAAAGCATTCATATGTAGAATATTTGAAAGAGAGTGCTGGTTAAAACACAAAATTGATTAAACTTAATTGGGAATTTGCTTCTCATTTCCACTTACCTCTTGAGATCCTTGATACTGAAATAAGATACTGAAATGGTTTTACAATGATAGCAAGTGTCAAAGTTACAAGGATCTGGGACTATCTGCCTTAAATATAAAAATATTTTTTTTTTGTTCAACATGACATATACCTATAAGATAGACTGCATAAAAATTAAATTCATCAGAAGGATAATTAATAAGTGATTTGAGAACATTCAAATGGCAGTGGATACATTATATTAATATTTATTTCCTTTAAAAATTTAATCGACACATTTATTAAAAATTTACTGAATATTATTACATGCAGCATTTGACTTTGGATTCAAAATTTAATATTTATAAAATATGGAACATATACCAACTTTGGGTTCATGTAGATTTGTGTTTCTTTAAAATTTATACTGTTTAATAAAGAATAAGAAGGATATTTTACTTCATAATAGGAATTCATTCCTTTTTTTAATGAATTAAGTGACATATTTTTCAATTTTGATAGTAGTAATTCCTATTTTGTCCCATGATATGTTAACTTGACTTTATATTATTTTCATATGGAACCTCATCTAAATGATAATCACAATGTTAAAAATGATTGGAAAGATTTTCCATTAAGTATCTTGGATTTTACATAAGTTCCATTTTGTAGTAATTTTTTTATTCTCTGATTACTTTGACCAGATTTTATATCTGATTTATCTTGCTAGATCTATCAATACTGTTTAAAATAACTTGGATGAATTTAATCTCTGTTGCAGTATTAAAGGGACATTCCCCCAAGAACTTATAAAGAAAATAAGATTGCTCTCTGAGATTTTAATTTTAAAATCAATACATAATTGATCAGAGGAAAGGGTTACAAAGCACCTCAGAAAGACAGACTTGCTCATAGGACTTCAGTACTTGATGCGAGCTATAAAGGCTGTGAAGACATCAGTGCCTGACAGGTCCATAGCCCTCTTGTGAGGGAAGCTGTCTAAACCAGGAATTGGTTCATGAGTATCCATTCCTTTTTTGTTGAGACCCATAGATAAGCATTCTAACAAAGGCAGCCATCCATACACTGAACATATAGGAGAGAAATGGCTTATGAAGAGAGATAGTCTGGGAATCCTATACAATATGAGTGTCTGATGTTAGTAAGAAACCCAGCAAATCATATTCTCTCCAAGACATATTGCTTGTGAGACATTCAGAGAGAACCAAAGATAATAAAAGAGAAATATAAAGAAAAGATGGTTTACAACTATATTTAGAAATGCTAGCCAGGCGTGGTAGCTCATGTCTGCAATACAATCCCAGCACTTTGAGAGGCAAAGGCAAGAGGATCACTTGAGGCCAGGAGTTAGAGACCAGTCTTGGCAACACAGCGAGACCCTGTCTTTATCAAAAATTTAAAAACTAACTGGGCACGATAACATGCACCTGTACCAGTTATGTGGGAGGCTGAGGTAGGAGGATCACTTGAGCCCAGGAGTTTGAGGTTATGGTGAGCAAAGATGTGCCACTGCATTTTAGCCTGGGTGACAGGGAGAAATCCTGTATCTAAAAAAATAAAAATTAAAAAAGTAAAAGAAATGCTTAAGTTGACATTATAAAAGACCACTTCTGGGAGCATATTCATATGATTAGTGAATAGAGATGCTGTGATTAATAGATTCTGACTGATACCAGCTACAAAATTATTCTTTCCTTGAACTCCTATAATAAACCTGCATTCAATATCACCTGTGGAAATCTGAGAATGACTATTCTTTGCAACCTCAATGAGACTGTGCTAAAAGAAGACTCAAACCCTGCCAAATGCATTACCATGTCTAGAGTAATCATATACCTATTTTTAAAAAAGGTTAACTAGCTATGAAAGCATGATGGAAGGAAAGCCACAGAAGAAAATATTGAGTGTCCATCTTAGCACTGCCAAAGGGAAAGGAAAACTAGTTTTTGGACTGCAAGTGATCTGATTCATTATAAGAACGTCTAAGTGTGATATGGAAGCTTCTATCTCTTTTTAGTCTGATGGAATAACAGTTCAATTAATCCAAATGTTCTCTTCATTTGCATTTCATATCTAGTAAGCAAACTTAGATTATGGTTTTGTTTCTCATGTTCATGAGTCAACAGAAATAAAATGCATTAATCATTGGGACATGAGTGTTATGCTCAATGTAGTAATAATTTATCATTTTGAATGAATAAATTCGAATTCTTTGTTTATATCACTTGAGTTAATTCAGTTAACAAAAATACAGCACCCAATGATTGCATAGGCTTTCAGACAAAATAAGATTTCTTACTTTGAAAAGGCTTGGAATCAGAACTGGGTCACTTTAAATTTACTATAGTAACAAAGGGCACCTAAGAATACCTCTTAGAAGACAACCAGTGACCAAAAATGTCATTGCCATAGGCTATAAACCAAAGCCTTCTTTTCCTATTTAAATTTCCACAGTGACAACTAGAAAGGAATGATGTCACCATCCATTACTAAAGAGGCAAATAGAGGAGGCTCATTTTTTCCTTCCAGACCACATTCATTAACAGGAGGCTCCGACCTAATGCTAAATGGTGAGTTAATGGGTGCAGCACACCAAAATGGCACATGTATACATATGTAACAAACCTGCACATTGTGCACATGTACCCTAAAACTTAAAGTATAATAATAATAAAACTAAAAAAAAAAAGAGGAGGCTCATTTTTTCCTTCCAGACCACATTCATTAACATGTGCTATCTCTGCTAATACCAACCACAATATCACCATCTCATCTGACACTGTACTCAATTCAAAGCCACTTTTCCAAGAATTCCAAATCTAACAAATATGAAATACTACACATTTACGTAGTATTTTAAGGTAGTCAAAATTCTTTCACTTATTTATTTTATATCTTATCTCAAGCTTAACAAGTTGGCAGAAAATATGACTGTGCTGTAAAACAATGCTTCTCAACATGTAATCCAAACTCCTTCTTTTTAAAAATTTATTTTTTAAAATAATTTCAACTTTCATTTTAGATTCAGGGGGCATATCCACAGGTTTGTTACATGTGTATATTTTGTGATGCTGAGGTTTATGATATGACCGATCTCATCACCCAGATACTGAGCATAGTACCAGATAGTTTTTCAACCCTTGTTCCCCTCTTCATCTCCCCTGTAGTAGTCCCTAGTGTCTATTGTTCTCATCTTTATGTCCATGTGTACATTTAACAACCACTTAGAAGTCAGAACACGTGGTATTCGTTTTCCTACTTCTGCATTAATTTTCTTAGAATAATGACCTCTAGCTGCATCCATGTTGCTGCAAAGGACATGGTGTCATTCTTTTTTATGGATGCATAGTATTCCATTGGTATATATGTACCACATTTTATTTATCCAATCCACTGTTGATGGGTATTTAGGTTGATTCCACATCTTTGCTATTGTGAATAGCCTGATAGTATAGTTTGAAGTCAGGTAATGTGCTGCCTCCACCTTTTTTTTTTTTTTCTTAGCATTGCCTTATCTATTTGGGCTCTTTTTTGGTTCCATGTGAATTTCAGAATAGTTTTCTATTTCTGTGAAAAGTGACATTGGTAGTATGATAGGAATAGCGCTGAATTGCTTTGGGCAGTATGGCCACTTTGTTGATATTGATTTTTCCAATCTGTGCACATGGGATGGTTTTCCATTTGTTAGTGTCATCTATGATTTTTTTCACCAGTGTTTTGTGTTCTCATTGTAGAGATCTTTCACTTCTCAAGCTCCTTCTGCATCAGAATCTCTGGCGCACCTGACAAAATGAAGATTCCTCTAAGCCCCTAAGGGAATTCTACACATACCGAGATTTGACAAATGTGACTCTGAAATTTACATAACAGCTCATGGCCCCAGTTCCTGGAATGCTGTGACAATTGATGTTATGCTACTCTCCCCCAAACGTTTTAGCTAGTGGTTCTCACCCTAACTGCCTATTTGAATCACCTGAAAACATTCCAATGCATGGCCCCATCTTATACCAAGTAAATAAGAATCTGAGAATGGGATTCAAAAAACAGGATTTTAAAAGCACCCATCTCCCAAGTAATTCTAATGTGTATCCAGGGTAGAAATGCCACTATTGTATAAGCCTATATTTTTCACTATTAACATAGGTTTATTTCTGATGAAATAAATATAGGTTTATTTCTGATGAAATAAATATAGGTTTATTTCTGATGAAAACATAGGTTTATTTCTATGAACATAGGATGGCTTTTCTGAGCCAACTTCAGTACAATCACCAGATTTTAAAATATCTCAATTAAAACCACAAGCATAGGCCAGGCATGGTGGCTCACATCTATAATGCCAACACTTTGGGCCGCCAAGGTGGGTAGATCACTTGAGGCCAAGACCAGCCTGGCCAACATGGCAAAAGCCCATCTCTACTGAAAATGCAAAAAAATTAGCTGGGTGTGGTAGCACACACCTGTAGTTCCAGACACTTGGGAGGCTGAGACATAAGAATCACTGGAACTCAAGAGGCCAAGATCACGACACTGCTCTCCAGCCTGCTGACAGAACGAGACTCTGTCTCAAAAAAAAAAAAAACAGAAAACACATACACACACACACACACACACACACACAAAACAAGCATAGACTTCATTAAGAAAGTGGTCACTCATCATTAAAATATGCAAATTTAATGGAAAAATAAATTGACTTGTGTATAAGTGAAAACAAGTAAGGCCCTCTCAGCCCAATAATACCCGCACCTCAGATACTCCCTGAAAGCTGACCACTTCTGGGAATAAATGAATATCATGGGTCTAAAAACTACTTTTTCCAGTTATTGTCTTGTTTTGTTGATGAATGTACTTAAATTTAGAATCTTGGAATATTATAGATCAGCATTTTCTGACATGATAACTACCAGCCACATGGCCCTATTTAGAAGTAATATTCAGTTCCTTGTGTTCCTTGTGCAGCTAGTGAACGTATATAGGAAAAAGCTATGTTGTACAGCACTGTAGACCCTTATAGTTAGTTTCACTTTACAGATGAAGAAATAAGGCCCAGAAGATTTAAGTGCCTTTCCCTATGTTATATATCTAATTAGTGGAGGACCAAAATAATTAAACCCAAGTTTAATGACCTATATACTGTCACAAATTAATAAGTGAATCAATACTTGTGATGATGATGATCATGATATTAATATTGGATATAATTGTAAAAAAAAATTATTACTATAAGCCAGACATTTTTCTGAAAGTGTTGGCTTATTATCTCTTTCTCATAAGAAACTAAAATGTTAGGTACCATAATATACTTACTTTAGAAATGTGGTAGCAGAACCACAAAGGTCACTTAGAGATTGATAATTATTAGGTGACAGAAATGGAATCACCATACACATAAAAAGCTAATATAAGAAATTCTATCACTAAACTTTAGTCATAAAGATAAAAACAAATAGCAATTTATAATACATTTGAAATGCCACCAAACATAAAGAATTTTCTTTTGAAAAGTTTCTGTTCATATCTCTTGGCCACTTTTTAATGGTTTTTTATGTTTTTTTTTCTTGTAAATTGCTTACGTTCTTTATAGATGCTAGATATTAGACCTTTGTCAGATGCATAGTTTGCAGAAATTTTCTTTCATTGTGTAGGCTGTTTACTCTGTTAATAGTTTCTTTTGCTGTGCAGAAGCTATTAAGTAACCTATGCTGATTAAAACAAAATACCATAAAATAGAAACTAAATAATTAGAAACATTTGTCAATATATAGTTGATATATTTTCAATCTACTTGCAGACTGATGCTACTGCCAATGTATATACACATGTAAAAAGAGACTAAATTTCTAATTCGTTTTAACAAAAACAATTAACCTAGATTAGACAAATTCTTGTTGGAACTGAGCCCAATTCTACATGTGTTTTCCTTAAATAGAATTTGTTTATAATTATTGAACTAAAACTTTTCATTTCTAAAGAGAAAGGGGAAAGCTGAAGAATATCTTGTTGTGGTTCCTTATATTGATTAAGCAAATGAACTTACCATAATGATTCTAAGTGATCTAGTTAAGCAAATGCCTGGTATATTTACGCTGAAGAAAAAAATTTTTAACTTTTATTTTAAGTTTGGCATACATGTGCAGGATGTGCAGGTTTGTTACACAGGTAAATGTATGTCATGGACCTTTTTTGTACAGATTATTTCATCACCTAGGTATTAAGTCTAGTACCCATCAGTTATATTTCTTGATCCTCTCTCTCCTCCCACCTTCCACCCTCCCATAGGCCCCAATGTGTGTTGTTCCCCTCCATGTGTCCACGTGTCCTCATCATTTAGCTCCCACTTATAAGTGAGAACATGTGGTATTTGGTTTCTGTTCCCACCTTAGTTTGCTAAGGGTAATGGTCTCTAGCTCCCTCCATGTTCCTGGAAAGGACATGAACTTGTTCTTTTTTTATGGCTACATAGTATTTCACGGTGTATATGTAAAATATTTTCTTTATCCAGTCTACCACTGGTGCACATTTAGGTTGATTCCATGTCTTTGCTATTGTGAATAGTGCTGCAATGAACATATGCATGTGTCTTTATAATCGAATAATTTATATTCTCTTGGGTATATGCACCATAATTGAATTGCTGGGTTGAATGGAGGTTCTATGTTTAGCTCTTTGAGGAATCACCACACTGTTTTCCACAATGGTTGAACTAATTTATAATCCCATCAACAGTGATAAGCATTCCCTTTTTTCTACAGCCTTGCTAGTATCTGTTTTGTTTGTTTTGTTTTTTGTTTTTGTTTTTGTTTTTACATGTTGCACTTTTTTTACATGCTTGTTGGTCACATGTATGTCTTCTTTTGAAAATGACAATCTTCATAGAACTTGAAAAAACTATTTTAAAATTCGTATAGAACCATTAAAGCCTGAGTAGCCAAGGCAATGCAAAGAAAAAACAAATAATAATAAAAAAAAAAAGCTGGAGGCATCACACCACCCAAATTCAAACTATATTACAGGCTACAGTAACCAAAACAGCATGGTACTGGTACAAAAACAGATACATAGATGAATGGAACAAAATAGAGAGCCCAGAAGTAATACTGCATGCCTACAACCATCTGATCTTTGACAAAACGGACAAAAACAAGCAATGGAGGAAATAATTCACTATTCAATAAATGGTGCTGGGATAACTGGTCAGCCTATGCAGAAGACTGAAGCTGGATCCTTACCTTTCACCATATAAAAATATTAAGTCAAGAGGATTAAAGACCTAAATGTAAACCAAAAACTATAAAAACCCTGGAAGACAACTGAGGCAATATCATTCAGGATGTAGTCTTGGGTGAGGATTTCATTATGAAAATGCCAAAAGCAATCACAACAAAAGCAAAACTTGACAAATAGGATCTAATTAAGAGATTCTGCACAGCAAAATAAACTACCCATAGCGTGAGCGACGCAGGAGAGGGGTGAATTCTGCATTTCCATCTGAGGTACCGGGTTCTTCTCACTAGGGAGTGCCAGACAGTGGGCGCACGTCAGTGGGTGCGCGAGCCGAAGCAGGACGAGGCATTGCCTCACTCGGGAAGTGCAAGGGGTCAGGGAGTTCCCTTTCCTAGTCAAAGAAAGGAGTGACAGACGGCCCCTGGAAAATCGGGTCACTCCCACCCGAACACTGCGCTTTTCCGAAGGGCTTAAAAAAGGGCGCACCACAAGATTATATCCTGCACCTGGCTTGGAGGGTCCTATGCCCACGGAGTCTAGCTGATTGCTAGCACAGCAGTCTGAGATCAAACTGCAAGGAGGCAGCGAGGGTGGGAGAGGGGCGCCCGCCATTGCCCTGGCTTGCTTAGGTAAATAAAGCAGCTGGGAAGCTCCAACTGGGTGGAGCCCACCACAGCTCAAGGAGGCCTGCCTGCCTGGGTAGGCTCCACCTCTGGGGGCAGGGTACAGACAAACAAAAAGAGAGCAGTAGCCTCTGCAGACTTAAATGTCCCTGTCTGACAGCTTTGAAGAGAGCAGTGGTTCTCCCAGCACGCAGCTGGAGATCTGAGAACGGGCAGACAGTCCCCTCAAGTGGGTCCCTTAACCCTGACCCCTGAGCAGCCTGAGAGGCACCCCCCAGTAGGGGCAGACTGACACCTCACATGGCCAGGTACTCCTCTGAGACAAAACTTGCAGAGGAACGATCAGACAGCAGCATTCGCGGTTCATGAAAAACCACGGATCTGCAGACACCGCTGCTGATACCCAGGCAAACAGGGTCTGGAGTGGACCTCTAGCAAACTCCAACAGACCTGCAGCTGAGGCCCTGTTAGAAGGAAAACTAACTAACAGAAAGGACATACACACCAAAAACCCATCTGTATATCACCATCATCAAAGACCAAAAGTAGATAAAACTACAAAGATGGGGAAAAAACAGAGCAGAAAAACTGGAAACTCTAAAAAGAAGAGCACCTCTCCTCCTCCAAAGGATCGCAGTTCCTCACCAGCAATGGAACAAAGCTGGATGGAGAATGACTTTGACTAGTTGAGAGAAGAAGGCTTCAGATGATCAAACTACGAGCTACAGGAGGAAATTCAAACCAAAGGCAAAGAAGTTAAAAAACTTTGAAAAAAATTTAGACGAATGTATAGCTAGAAAAACCAATACAGAGAAGTGCTTAAAGGAGATGAGGGAGCTGAAAGCCAAGGCTCGAGAACTACATGAAGAATGCAGAAGCCTCAGGAGCTGATGCAATCAACTGGAAGAAAGGGTAACAGCGATGGAAGATGAAAAACCCATCTCGCATGCAGAGACACACATAGGCTCAAAATAAAAGGATGGAGGAAGATCTACCAAGCAAATGGAAAACAAAAAAAGGCAGGGGTTGCAATCCTAGTCTCTGATAAAAGAGACTTTAAACCAACAAAGATCAAAAGGGACAAAGAAGGCTATTACATAATGGTAAAGGGATCAATTCAACAAGAAGAACTAACTATCCTAAATATATATGCACCCAATACAGGAGGACCCAGATTCATAAAGCAAGTCCTGAATGACCTACAAAGAGACTTAGACTCCCACACAATAATAATGGGAGACTTTAACACCCCACTGTCAACATTAGACAGATCAACGAGACAGAAAGTCAACAAGGATACCCAGGAATTGAACTCAGCTCTGCACCAAGTGGACCTAATAGACATCTACAGAACTCTCCACCCCAAATCAACAGAATATACATTTTTTTCAGCACCACACCACACCTATTCCAAAATTGACCACATAGTTGGAAGTAAAGCTCTCCTCAGCAAATGTAAAAAACAGAAATTATAACAAACTGTCTCTCAGACCACAGTGCAATCAAACTAGAACTCAGGATTAAGAAACTCACTCAAAACCGCTCAACTACATGGAAACTGAACAACCTGCTCCTGAATGACTACTGGGTACATAACGAAACAAAGGCAGGAATAAAGATGTTCTTTGAAACCAACGAGAACAAAGACGCAACATACCAGAATCTCTGGGACACATTCAAAGCAGTGTGTAGAGGGAAATTTATAGCACTAAATGCCGACAAAAGAAAGCAGGAAAGATCCAAAATTGACACCCTAACATCACAATTAAAAGAACTAGAGAAGCAAGAGCAAACACATTCAAAAACTAGCAGAAGGCAAGAAATAACTAAAATCAGAGCAGAACTGAAGGAAATAGAGACACAAAAAACCCTTCAAAAAATTAACGAATCCAGAAGCTGGTTTTTTGAAAGGATCAACAAAATTGATAGACTGCCAGCAAGACTGATAAAGAAAAAAAGAGAGAAGAATCAAATAGACAAAATAAAAAATGATAAAGGAGATATCACCACCAATCCCACAGAAATACAAACTACCATCAGAGAATACTACAAACAGCTTTATGCAAATAAACTAGAAAATCTAGAAGAAATGGATAAATTCCTCGACACATACACTCTCCCAAGACTAAACCAGGAAGAAGTTGAATCTCTGAATAGACCAATAACAGGCTCTGAAATTGAGGCAATAATTAACAGCTTACCAACCAAAAAAAGTCCAGGACCAGATGAATTCACAGCTGAATTCTATCAGAGGTACAAGGAACAGCTGGTACCATTCCTTCTGAAACTATTCCAATCAATAGAAAAAGAGGGAATCCTCCCTAACTCATTTTATGAGGCCAGCAACATCCTGATACCAAAGCCTGGCAGAGACACAACCAAAAAACATAATTTTAGACCAATACCCTTGATGAACATTGATGCAAAAATCCTCAATACAATACTAGCAAGCTGAATCCAGCAGCACATCAAAAAGCTTATCCACCATGATCAAGTGGGCTTCATCCCTGGGATGCAAGGCTGTTCAATATATGCAAATCAATAAATGTAATCCGCATATAAACAGAACCAAAGACAAAAACCACGATTATCTCAATAGATGCAGAAAAGGCCTTTGACAAAATTCAACAATGCTTCATGATAAAAACTCTCAATAAATTCGGTATTGATGGGACATATCTCAAAATAATAAGAGCTATCTATGACAAACCCACAGCCAATATCATACTGAATGGACAAAAACTGGAAGCATTCCCTTTGAAAACTGGCACAAGACAGGGATGCCCTCTCTCACCACTCCTATTCAACATAGTGTTGGAAGTTCTGGCCACGGCAATTAGGCAGGAGAAGGAAATAAAGGGTATTCAACTAGGAAAAGAGGAAGTCAAATTGTCCCTGTTTGCAGATGACATGATTGTATATCTAGAAAACCCCACTGTCTCAGCCCAAAATCTCTTTAAGCTGATAAGCAACTTCAACAAAGTCTCAGGATACAAAATCAATGTACAAAAATCACAAGCATTCTTATACACTAATAACAGACAAACAGAAAGCCAAATCATGAGTGAACTCCCATTCACAATTGCTTCAAAGAGAATAAAATACCTAGGAATCCACCTTACAAGGGATGTGAAGGACCACTTCAAGGAGAACTACAAACCACTGCTCAATGAAATAAAAGAGGACACAAACAAATGGAAGAACATTCCATGCTCATGGGTAGGAAGAATCAATATCGTGAATATGGCCATACTGCCCAAGGTAATTTAGACATTGAATGCCATCCCCATCAAGCCACCAATGACGTTCTTCACAGAATTGGAAAAAACTACTTTAAAGTTCATATGGAACCAAAAAAGAGCCCACATTGCCAAGTCAATCCTAAGCCAAAAGAACAAAGCTGGAGGCATCACGCTACCTGGCTTCAAACTATACTACAAGGCTACAGTAACCAAAACAGCATGGTACTGCTACCAAAATAGAGATATAGACCAATGGAACAGAACAGAGCCCTCAGAAATAATGCCACATATCTACATCCATCTGATCTTTGACAAACCTGAGAAAAACAAGCAATAGGGAAAGGATTCTCTATTTAATAAATGGTTCTGGGAAAACTGGCTAGCCATATGTAGAAAGCTGAAACTGGATCCCTTCCTTACACCTTATACAAAAATTAATTCAAGATGGATTAAAGACTTAAACGTTAGACCTAAAACCATAAAAACCCTAGAAGAAAACCTAGGCATTGCCCTTCAGGACAGAGGCACGAGCAAGGACTTCATGTCTAAAACACCAAAAGCAATGGCAACAAAAGCCAAAATTGACAAATGGGATCTAATTAAACTAAAGAGCTTCTGCACAGCAAAAGAAACTACCATCAGAGTGAACAGGCAATCTACAAAATGGGAGAAAATTTTCACAACCTACTCATCTGACAAAGGGCTAATATCCGGAATCTACAATAAACTCAAACAAATTTACAAGAAGAAAACAAACAACCCCATCAAAAAGTGGGCGAAGGACATGAACAGACACTTCTCAAAAGAAGACATTTATGCAGCCAAAATACACATGAAAAAATATTCACCATCACTGGCCATCAGAGAAATGCAAATCAAAACCACAATGAGATATCATCTCACATCAGTTAGAATGGTAATCATTAAAAAGTCAGGAAACAACAGGTGCTGGAGAGGATGTGGAGAAATAGGAACACTTTTACACTGTTGGTGGGACTGTAAACTAGTTCAATCATTGTGGAAGTCAGTGTGGCGATTCCTCAGGGATCTAGAGCTAGAAATACCATTTGACCCAGCCATCCCATTCCTGGGTATCTACCCAAAGGACTATAAATCATGCTGCTATAAACACACATGCACACATATGTTTATTGCGGCACTATTCACAACAGCAAAGACTTGGAACCAACCCAAATGTCCAACAATGATAGACTAGATTAAGAAAATGTGGCACATATACACCATGGAATACTATGCAGCCATCAAAAATGATGAGTTCATGTCCTTTGTAGTGACATAGATGAAATTGGAAATCATCATTCTCAGTAAACTATCACAAGAACAAAAAACCATACACCGCATGTTCTCACTCATAGGTGGGAATTGAACAATGAGAACACATGGACACAGGAAGGGGAACATCACACTCTGGGGACTGTTGTGGGGTGGGGGGAGGGGGAAGGAAAGCATTGGGAGATATACCTAATGCTAGGTGACGAGTTAGTGGGTGCAGCGCACCAGCAGCATGTTACATGTATACATATGTAACTAAACTGTACATTGTGCACATGTACCCTAAAACTTAAAGTATAATTTAAAAAAAAAAGAAAAAGAAACTACCTATATTTCATTTTGTTATCCTGAGAAGAGTATTAGTGAAACAATGTGTTTTTTATGTTTGAGAGAAAAACTAAACCAATGAGAACACACAACTGGAAATAAAAAACAAAGACTAAGATATAGCCAACTCTGTAATGAAGAAAAATTAATTTATTAATGCTTATTATAGGCCAAAAAAGAAATGAACATAACAAATTTTGGTTTCTAAACTACAACTGTCACTGCAATTCTGCTGCAATACTTAATGATGTTTAGCAGTGTAAAATTTTGTTAATTGCACTTGAACAATCTTAATTTTATCTTTGAAAGCTAAGGAACCAGTAATAAATTACTTCAAGCATTCTTCCCAATAGATCTTCCCATAACTTGGACTAGGTGGTATGCACAATTTTATTTGTTTGTTTGCTTATTTATTTATTTATTTATTTGTTTATTTGTCTTAGTGTGGCAGACACTGAGAACTGCCTACCCAATTGCCATCCTCCCCTTCTTTACTAACAACTTGAGCAATATGCCCAGTTACTAAACTACATTTCCCAGCTACACTTGAAAATGGTGGAGGCCAATGAAATGTAAGGGGGATGTATTGCCTGGAGCTTCCCTTTTTACATTCCCTCTTGTTTTCGCTTTCTGCCTTGAACTCAATTGTGAAGAGTGTCTGGGTTTCCAGAAACTATTTTGGGTTAAACAGTGGGTTGAAAATTATGTGCTA
The DNA here is from genome assembly GCF_000001405.40 of Homo sapiens. Classification (NCBI taxonomy): domain Eukaryota; kingdom Metazoa; phylum Chordata; class Mammalia; order Primates; family Hominidae; genus Homo; species Homo sapiens. Next base: position 63,058,954 of record NC_000006.12, read on the forward strand.
ATTACAGGAAACCAGAAATCTGGAAGGAGTTAGACGTCCTTGAACTACCTATTGTGGAACTTTCTCTATGTTAGAGCTACCTTTAAAAGCAAATGAAATTTATAAAATATTCAGTTTTACAAAACTATAACATTGATTATCATAAAAATGAAACACAACCATATGAAAGGCAATTTGAAAATTATATAAGCTGTATAAATTTTTATTGTTTACAGACGATTAATGAATTCTATTTAGGAAATTACAAATTTGAAGAATAAAATTAGAAATTAAAAAATAAAATCTAAAATATCAAAATAATCTCAAGGAGAGATTGAAACTAAATAGAACAAAACCATGAGAAAATAAGAAACAGTCTCAAAGAATAAACTCCAAGGGCAATGTAGGACTCAGATATATTTGTAGAGAAATTTTCCCACATTTTTAAGAAATAGGTTATCCCTATTCTATGTGAATGCTTCACAACATATAAAAAAATGAAATATTACTGAATATGTTTTACAAAACTAGTATTATGCTATACCAAACCTAACAAAGTAAACACTCTGTTAAACATACACAAATATATTTTCATTAAATACATGCATGAATGTCCTATCTATTATTATTCAAGGTGACAGAGGTTTAGCTACTGAACTTAGACTCAAGGTCCAGTAGCTGGGCTAAGATCCAAAGCAGAGAAATGAGTTTAATGACCTTTTCTAAATCAAAGACATTTTCCAATTTACTCACTATTTGTTTTCCATAGTATGGATCCCTTAGGAAACAATAAGTTTTATTGACTAGTGTAAGACAATAAAACTATGTCGTGAATACAGTAATTCAGATATTACTATAAATTAAGACTAGTTGTATTAGGAAAAGAATTATGCTGCAAGCATAATAAAAAACCTAACAAAGGTTTAAATCCACTAAATGGTTTTTATGTGTTTGCTTTGTCTTGGTTTTCCCATTTAAAAAGTCTAGAAGTTAAACAGTCCAGAACTGGTAACATCAAGGGGCTTCAACTGATTCTCTTTTTGACATAGATATTGTCCTATTGTTATACATGTTCCAAGCATTCCAATGCCAGGAGAGAAAGATGTGTTAAATTTCCAAACACAATATGATCATATGCAATTTTTTTCCTAGAGGTGGTAAATCAATTGTGATACACATTAATGAAATGGAAAATGTACTAGAAGTTCAATCACAAATATGAGTGGTGAGGACAAATGTGCTCAATTGTAGTGTATTATTCTTATTATAAGCTCAGAAAATAAACTAAAATAACATCTGATTAAGGAATATTAACAAAGCAGCATCAAAACCAACACCAATATAATATGTAAATATGTATTTAATATTTTTAGCTATTATTGTCGAAATCTTTATTTCCTGATATACATCATAACAGAAACAAGTTATGAATTATATTCAAATCAAACTGTTAAGCAGTTATCAATTAACATGAAAGGAAAATATCTACTATTAATATAAATAGCAAACATTTTTTGAGAATTCAGATGTTTCACTCTCTAGACTGAGTATTTTAATTCAGATATATAAAAATCCAAGACTAAGTTTTTAACTACTATTGCACTGCCTTTAATTATCTCATGTCCTCATTGCTACATTCTAACAACAACAAAAAAGAACTAAAATAATGGGACAAATGTCTGATCATTCTCTGCTATAGTGGACAATAACTAAAAGATCACTGTGTGGCAGACAATACTTTCATAATAGGAATCTATTTGCCATTGCCTTGTTTCCATTGATTTAACTGGATATTCACTGGGCCTTCAGTCCACAACTTACTGTTCTGCTTACTGTTTGGGGAAATTTATTTAAAATCTTGGATTTTTTCTTTAATAATTTTCTCAACCACTTTCTGGAAATCTTACCATTTGGATTTTGAACCTTCTTGCCTTTTCTTTTTATTTTCTGGAAAATGTTTTCTATTGTATTTTTGCTGTTAGATTTAACATTTCCAAACATTTTATTCCTAAAAAAAATTTTTGTTGACAATTTATTTTAATAGTATCCTCTTCCACGTTTTTATATTCCACATATTCTCTTTTCATTCCAAGGATATTAGTTACAGGTGTCTTTGCATTTTTCTTCTGGTGCTTGTATTCAAACTGTCTTCTCTGAATTTCTTTTGTCATTTGTTTGTTTTGTCTGATTTTATTATTGTTGTTATTGTTCGACAGTTGCCCAAAATATAAAGTAATATTTTGTCATCCTGTGATATTTAAGAGTAAATTCTTGTTCAAGCTTACTAGAAGCAATATCTAATTAAATGGGCTGTGGTACACTACATATTGGAGAGATCAGTAAGAAACCTTGTCCTTTGTTGGGGCATCCTCAAAATAGTCATATCCGTAGATCTCATCAGTTTCATTAAGAAAGACTCATAGGCCAGGTGTGATGGCTCACATCTGTAATCCCACACTTTAGAAGGCTGAGGTAATATCACTTGAGGTCAGGAGTTTGAGATCAGCCTGGGCAACACAGTGAAACTCTGTCTCTACAAAAAATAAAACACAGCCAGTTGTGATGGTACATTCCTGTACTCCCAGCTACTTGAGGGACTGAGGCAGGAGTAACACACGAGCCCAGGAGTTTAAGGTTACAGTGAGCCGTGATGTGCCACTGTGTTCCAGTCTGGCAATAGAGTGAGACTTTGTCTCAATAATAATAAAAAAAAATTAATTCTCAATTGTTCCCTGGATTGAAAGTTGTGGTGCTGGGTTCATCATACTTAGAGCAAAGTAGGAGAAAATAACAAAGTGTCAATGTTTAATATATACATCTTTATTTAAATCATCTATTTTCAGTATAATACCCGAGGTCTCTGAAACACTCATTATTTTCAACCTCTGTCTTCTAGGCTTCACCTAGGAGAAATGCCATTCTGCAAACGCCTTCACCATTCATTCTCTCAGTTATCCAAGCTTCAGCAAAATATATCAGCATCATCAACTGCCTGTCTCCTTTGAATGCAAATAATTGCTTGTCAAATAATTCCTCAGAAATAATATGTCTGGTGATATGGTTTTGCTGAGTCCCCACCCAAATCTTGTCTTGAATTGTAGTACACATAATGCCAACATGTCACAGGAGGAACCAAGTGGGAGGTAACTGAGTCATAGGAGCAGTTACCCTCATCCTGGTGCTCTCATGATACTGAGTGAGTTCCCACGAGATCTGATGGTTTTATAAGGAGCTTTTACCCCTTTTGCTCAGCACTTCTCCTTCTTGCATCATATGAAGAAGGATGTGTTTGCTACCCCTTCCACCATGATTGAAAGTTTCCTGAGGACTCCCCAGCCATGCTGAGCTATGAGTCAATTAAACTTATTTATTTTATAAATTACCCAGTCTCAGATGTGTTTTTATTAGCAGCATGTGAGTGGACTTATACATAAATTGGTAGCAAGTAGTGGGGAGCTGCTGTAAAGATACCTGAAAATGTGAAAGTGATTTTGGAACTGGGTAACAAGCAGAGATTGAAACAGTTTGGAAGGCTCAGAAGAAGACAGGAAAATGTGAAAGTTTGGAACTTCCCAGAGATTTGCTTAATGGCTTTGACCAAAATGCTGATAGTGATATGAACAATAAAGTCCAGGCTGAGGTGGTCTCAGTTGGAACTTGTTGGGAACTGGACTAAATGTCACTCTTGTTATGCAGAGACTGGCAGCATTCTGCCCCTGCCCTAGAGATCTTTGGAACTTTGAACTTGAGAGAGATGATTTAGGGTATCTGGTGGAAGAAATTTCTAAATGACAAAGCATTCAAGAGGAAGCAGAGGACAAAAGTTTGGAAAATTTGCAGCCTGATGATGTGATAGAAAAGAAAAACCATTTTTCTGGAGAGAAATTCAAGCTGGCTGCAGAAATTTGCATAAATAAGGAGTCAAATGTTAATCACCAAGACAATGGGAAAAATGTCCCCAAGGCATGTCACAGACTTTCATGGCAGCCCCTCCCATTACAGGTCTGGAGGTCTAGGAGGAAAAAATGATTTTCTGGCGGGGTCAAGGACTCCCTGCTCTGTGCACCCTCAAGACTGCATCCCAGCTGCTCTAGCCATGGCTAAAAGGAGCCAACATATAGCTCAGACTATTGCTTCAGAAGTTAAAAGCCCCAAGCCTTGGTAGCTTCCATGTGGTGTTGGGCCTTTTGGTGCACAGAAGTCAAGAACTGAGGTGTGGGAACCTCCACCTAGATTTCAGAGGATGTATGGAAAGGCCTGAATGTCCAGGCAAAAGCTTACTGCAGGGGCAGAGCCCTCAAGGAGAATCTCCGCTATGCCCATGAAGAAGGGAAATGTGGGGCTGGAGCCCCCACAGAGTCCCCACTGCCTAATGGAGCTGTGAGAAGTGCCCTAATGGGGACTGCCTAATGGAGCTGTGAGAAGAGGGCCACCATCCTCTAGACCCTAGAATGGCAGATCCACCAACAGCTTGCAGTGTGCATCTGGAAAAGCCACAAGCACCCAATACCAACCAGCCCATTAAAGCAGCCATGAGGCGGGCTGTACCCCGCAAAGCCACAGTGGTGGAGCTGCTCAAGACCATGGGAGCCCACTTTTTGTATCAGTATGACCTGGATGTGAGACCTGGGGTCAAAGGAGATCATTTTGGAGCTTTAAGATTTGACTGCCCTGCTGGATTTCTAACTCACATGGGGCCTGTAGTCCCTTTGTTTTGGCCAATTTCTCCCACAAGGAATGGGGTGTATTTACCCAATGCCTGGACCCACACGTTTACCTATGTAACAAACCTGTATATTCTGCACATGTACCCCAGAACTTAAAATAAAAGTTGAAAAACAAAACAAAACAAAAAAACTTTGGAACCAGTCATACAGCCTCTCTGATAGCATCTCCATTAGCAATTCATGAAAAAGATTTCTAGGATCAGAAAGGAAACTCTCTTCTGCCTCTACCTTGGAAATGGTATTCTCAACACTATGTTAGAAGAAAATTAAACATGTAAATATCTTTGACATTTAAAAGTTTCTAAAAATGAATTAAATTATAAATGGCAATAACTTAGGTTTATGTGGCACTTTATGTTTTTCAACGTCCTTCTAACTATATTATGCCCCCGCCCTTGGTAGAGCAGTCATGAATACTTAAAGTGACTTGCCTAAAGGAGCACAGCTAACTAGCTATAACACTTATAACAAAGATGCAAGATTCACATTTGCTTTTCTTTTCTGTGAATTTGACCTTACTAAAGGAAGCCATTGCCACAAGTAGACAAATTCTATATTAGCTGTACTCACATGGGATTCCTGTTGTGGCTCTCACTGTCATTTTATGACACAGGCTCCCCCATAACAAGAACCATGGCATTTTCCAGGTCCCTCACCTGCCTTATGACACCCCCCAAAGTGTAGAGTGGGATATCCTCTCCATGATGATTCTGCTACTTTGCTGTAGCCTAACCAGAATTGTAATAGTCATCCAAAGGTTGGAAATTAAAGCCATAACCGCATGTACACACATATTATAAAGACTTTTTTTCTTCTTTGGCAACTATTACAAATGTGACCCAGGTAAAATGAAAAATTCTCAGGATTGCTATGAAATCATTTATTTTCCATGCCACACCAGAGTTTTAAAATATTAGAAAATTAAGATATATGAATCTCTCTTGCTCCAAGCTAATGCATTTGTCATATATTTCAAGGTGGTCCTGGCATGATGCCATATCTAAGTTTTTAGTTCAGAACTGTGACTAGCATGGCACTATCAAAGTGCACCAAGGTCTTTCCCTTGTATTTACTAGAAATAGCATTCTAGAAAATATCTCAAAACTCCCAAGGTAGGAAGAACACTAAAAAGAAATCTATTTTTTTTCATCTGGCACCTTCAAAATGAACTGAGCCTCACTTTTGGTCTACATTGAAGCATTTGGTCTAGATCCATCTTAGGTATATTCAAGATAGCTTTTCCGTATTAGAAAACTCAAATACAGTATTAGTTGATGTAGAAGTCAGAAAAATGTACGAACTACAATTCTTTTAAAGTTCTATTTTCGTCAAAGTTATGTTCAATAATTTTTCTATTTTATTTTTATTGTTTTGTTTTCAATACATAGACATAAACATAGTTCACTTATCTGGCACCAAGTTAGAACAATTTTTTAGAAAATTTGCCTTCCTTGTAAACAGATAAGAGTTGTAAGACCCACGCTATTGTAACTGAAAGCAGACCAATAATTTTAACAATAGAACAAAATGTTTATTTAGAACAAGAAATATTTAAGCAACTATGTGTTTAACAAAGTACTATTTAAAGGACATACTCATTAAGCACCATAAAAAGCTGATTTTGGGCATGTGCTTATATCAACTCATTTAATTCTCACAGTATTGAATTAGTTGGTCTACATGAGAATTTTCTGTTATGTGACCTCTCAGATGATCATTTGGGAATCCTGAATTCCCAGGTATTGGTAATGCATTTAATTGTGTAATGAAGTTTATCAAATGATGAGCATCGTATATGAACAAGATACTATGATAATAACAATAATTATCTTTATTCATTGAATTCTTTTAAAGTGACATTGTTCTTTCTACACATATACTTTTGTTTAATTATCTTAAAATCCTACTGAGTAGGTATTAGTATCCTCATTGAACTTACAAGAAAGCCAAGCTTCAAAAACAAGGTAATTTCCCCAAGTTCACAATTATAAAATGGTAAATGAATTCAGCCCCAAATCTTTTTTACACTAAAACTCATGTTCTCATTTCACCCTGCTGCCTCTAATTTTAGAGCATAAACCAGTTCCCACTTAGAAAAACATGCTTTCAAATAAAATGAAATAGGAGAAAAGATATAATGAACAGCTTGAGAATAAAATCACACATAATTTGAGAATAACCTCATAATTCACAAAACAAGTTTGCATCTGTTATTCTAATGTACTGCCTGTGTTATACTTGCATATTTTCATAATTTATTCATGCTGTTACATTATTTTTTCTCAATATAAATCAAATGTATATTTCTTTTACTTAGCAAATGATTTCTAGTAAACCTGACAGAAAGTTTCCTACTAGCTGACACCTTGTAATAGACAATCAGAAATTCTCACTGCTGTCAACATGTTAGAATGTTTTGGCCCTATTTAAGAGTAGGGACTCTTAAAGTAGGGACTCTCTAACTAGAATGAGGAACTTTCTAGTTTAAGAAAACTGAAAAAGATGCGCTTGACATGTAGCAGGTTGTCAACAAAGAGAAGTGAGTGTTGAATGAATGAGCGGTTGACACTAATATTTGACATTCATGTAGGCCAGCAGGGGGAGAAATTTCAGCATTCTTCAAGTCACATGCTCATAGGTGAATGCCCTGGGCACAGACTCTTGAGACAGATTTGGTTATAGGAAGTTTCTTGGGGAATATCCTCAGAAGCAGCACTCATGAGAGAGAGAATAAAGAAAGATTGGGCAAAGGGAGAAGTTGAACTTCAATGCAGTTGCAGCAGGGGCCTCAGCCAACCACATAGGGACATCTGGAGCCAGGACAGCCCTCAGAGATGCCACACTAAGGCAGGGGGGCTGGGCCTTTGAAATCCTTATCAATCAGTCACTAGGATTAGCTCTGATCTGTTATCAGCCAAAAGTCCCTGCAGCTAGAAGAAGGAGTTCCACCGTCACCAAGCAGGGAAGTTGGATAGCACATCACAACATCCAATACCTACAGCCACTTTTCCTATAAGTGTTCCTTTTACCACATTCTGCCAAATAATAATTACCACTTAAAAAATAGACTATATGTTTTACAATACACATAAAATTTTGTTTTTATAATCTTCAACATAAATTAATGTGAAATATTCTTCTCAATCCTATTTTACAGATAAGAGTGAGATTCAGTAACATTAATTAACATCTTTTTACATTTTTTTCATAAGTTATTGGGGTACAGATGGTATTTGGTTACATGAGTAAGCTCTTTAGTGGTGATTTGTGATATTTTGGTACACCCATAACCCCAGCGGTATACACTGGAAAATATTTGTAGTCTTTTATCCCTCTACCCCCTCCCACTCTTCCCCCCAAGTCTCCAAAGTCCATTGTATCATCTTTATGCCTTTGCATCCTCATAGCTTAGCCCCCATGTATCAGTGAGAACATATGATGTTTATGATGTTTGGTTTTCTATTCCTGAGTTACATCACTTAGAATAATAGTCTCCAATCTCATCCAGGTCACTGCAAATGTCGTTAATTCATTCTTTTTATGGCTGTGTAGTATTCCATTTTATACACACACACACACACACACACACACACACACACACACACACCACAGTTTCTTTATCCACTTGTTGATTGATGGGTTGGCTTTTGGATTGGTTCCACGATTTTGCAATTGTGAATTGTGCTGCTATAAACATCCATGTGCAAGTATCTTTTTCGAATAATGACTTCTTTTTTTCTGGATAGATACCCAGTAGTGGGATTGCTGGATCAAATGGTAGTTCTACTTTTCGTTCTTTAAGAAATCTCCATACTGTTTTCCATAATGTCTCTACTAGTTTACATTCCCACAAATATTGTAGAAGTGCTCCCTGATCACCGCATCCATGCCAACATTTGCTGTTTTTTATTTTTATTTTTATTATGGCCATTCTTGCAAGAGTAAGAGTAAGTCTATTCTCACTGTGGTTTTGATTTGCATTTCCCTGATCATTAGTGATGCTGAGCATTTTTCATATGTTTGTTTGCCATTTGTATATCTTCTCTTGAGAATTGTCTATTCATGTCCTTATCCCTTCAAGCTCTGAATTCCTCTCTTCTACTTGTTCAGTTATATTGCTGAGACTTTCCAGAGCATGTTGGATTTCTAAAAGTGTGCCCAAAACTTCCTGAATTTTTTACTGTTTTTTCTTTAAGCTATCTATTTCCATAAATATTTCTCCTTTCACTTCTTGTATCATTTTTTGGATTTCCTTGCATTGGGTTTCACCTTTCTCTGTCCCCTCCCTGATTAGCTTAATAAGTAACCTCCTGAATTATTTTTCAGGTAAATCAGGGATTTTTTCTGCCTTTGATCCATTGCTAGTGAACTAGTGTGATTTTTAGAGGTGTTGAAGAGACTTGTTTTGTCATATTACCAGGGATGGTTTTCTGTTTCCTTCTCATTTTGGTAGGCTCTGTCACAGGGAAGGTTTGGGGCTGAAGGCTGTTGTTCAGATTCTTTTGTCCCATGGAGTGTTCCCTTGAGGTAGTACTCTCCCCCTTTTCCTATGATTGTGGCTTTCTGTGAGCTGAATTGCAGTGACTGTTGTTGTTCTTCTGGGTCTAGCCACTTAGCGAGTCTACCCGGCTCCATGCTGGTACTGCACAAAGTCCTGTGATGTGAACTATCTATGGTCCCTCAGCCATGGATACCAGCGCCTGTTCCTATGGAGGTGGCAGAGAGTGCAATGGACCCCATGAGGGTCCTTAGCTTTGGTGGTTTAATGCTCTATTTTTGTGCTGGTTGGCCTCCTACCAGGAGGTGGCACTTTCCAGAAAGCTTCAGCTGTAGTAGTGTGGAGAGGGGCCAGCAGTGAGTGGGACCCTAGAACTTCCAAGATTATATGCCTTTTGTCTTCTGCTACCAGGGTGAATAGGGAAGGACCGACAGGTGGGGGCGGGGCTAAGCGTGTCTGAGCGCAGACTCTCCTTGGGTGGGTCTTGCTGCTGCTACTGTGGGGGATGAGGTGAAATTCTCAGGTCACTGGAGTTGTGTACCTAGGAGGATTACAGCTGCCTCTGCTGAGTTATGCAGGTTGTCAAGAAAGTAGGGGAAAGCTGGCAATCACAGGCCTTATCCGGATTCCACACAAACTGAAGGGCCAGTCTCACTCCCACAGTGTTCCCCACCCCCCACAACAGCACAAGTCTGTTCCCTGGCAGAGGATGAGACAGGCTTGAAAACTTGCCCAAGGCTATCCACTTCCCAGCTGTGAGAGAAAAGGGTTTTAGTTCTTCCCTGGCCTGTGAAGTCTGCAAGCCTCATTCACACCCTCCCCTGAGTTCTGACCAGGAGGCTTCTTCCCCCCTTCAAATTGTTACAAAGTTCAGCTACAGAATTCCTTCTCCCTGTGGAGTTTTACCCACTGCTCCTCTGGCCACTCTCCCAATGGATCCCTGTGGTGCCAGGCAGGAATGGACTGCTTGGGGACTCAGCGAGCTCCCAAGGCCTTTCTGCTGCATCCCTCTACCCCTGTATTTCACTTGGTTTGGCTCTCTAACTTGACTTGGCTCCAGATAAAGTCAGAAACTTCTGCAAATGGACCTTCAGATTCTCCAGTGGAGGTGTGTGCTCAGGAGAGAAGGGTCTCCTTTTCCCACTTACGCAGCTGTGGCACTCACAGAATTTGGGATGTCTCTCAGGTCATGCAGGAGCAGTCCACTTCCTTCAGAGGACCTGTGGGTCCTCTTGGAATTGCCGGTTTGTTCTTGAAGTCGATTTGAAGCTAAAATTTACAATGCAAGCCTCCGTATGCTGCACTCCCCAGACGGGCAATCTAGTCCTGCCTCCCGCCTGCCATGATCCCGTCTAAATAAAATCTTTATGATTACCCAACCAGTAAATTTTTTCTCTACCATAGCAGGCCACCATGCTTTTTGGTTTTATAAAGTGATAGAAGCTTATGGAAGATCAGTTCTTTCTTGCGGAGGAAAGTATAATTGCTAAAATACAGTGAATTCCAAGAGATCGCTTTTAAAATTTACATCTTGCATTATAATCCCCTTTCGTACTGTGGTCCCTGATAATCATGCAGGACAGACACATAAGTTAATTTCTTGACTTTTCTTTTCCGTTAAAAAGAAACAAAATATGAGATTTAAATGCCTATTCAAAGTTAATACTCTTTTACAATTTAAATCCCTCAGGAACAGCATATCAATATATATTTTCTGAAATACCATTGTTAATTAACTGAGGTTAGAAACACAAGATTTTGCAGATGTAACGTTTAATTCAAAACAACAGAATTTTCATGAACAGGGATGGCTCTAATTTCTTCTACAGGAAAAGTTGCATGTTAAAAGTTAGTGTACTATAAATCTTATGAAGATAACCAAGAATAAGCACTGTGAATTGGAAGAAGTTCTATGTTGTATAGGAATAACAGCAGAAATTAACAGAGTATTTAGATGTAACAGTTTTAAAGGCATAATCACTTCTTTATCAACAAGAAAGTAGTTAAGAAGAGGTGCTAATTCTAAGGAATATTTTGAACAAATTGAAAAACATTCCAGGAAACATGGAAAATAAAAATGTCTCACACACACACACTCCGTTTTCTTTTTATTTATTTTTATTTTTATTTTTTATTATACTTTAAGTTCCAGGGTACATGTGCACAACGTGCAGGTTTGTTACATATGTATACATGTGCCATATTGCTGTGTTGCACCCATTAACTCGTCATTTACATTAGGCATTTCTCCTAATGCTATCCCTCCCCCCTCCCCCTACCCCACAACAGGCCTCAGTGTGTGGTATTCCCCACTCTGTGTTCAAGTGTTCTCATTGTTCAATTCCCACCTATGAGTGAGAACATGAGGTGTTTAGTTTTCTGTCCTTGCAATAGTTTGTTCAGAATGATGGTTTCCAGCTTCATCCATGTCCCTACAAAGGACATGAATGCATCCTTTTTTATGGCTGCATAGTATTCCATGGTGTGTATGTGCCACATTTTCTTAATCCAGTCTATCACTGATGGACATTTGGGTTGCTTCCAAGTCTTTGCTATTGTGGATAGTGCCACAATAAACATACATGTGCATGTGTCTTTATAACAGCATGATTTATAATCCTTTGGGTATATACCCAGTAAAGGGATTGCTGGGTCAAATGGTATTTCTAGTCCTAAATCTTTGAGGAATTGCCGCACTGTCTTCTGCAATGGTAGAACTAGTTTACACTCCCACCAACAGTATAAAAGTGTTCCTATTTCTCCACATCCTCTCCAGTATCTGTTGTTTCCTGACTTTTTAATTGATTGCGATTCTAACTGGTGTGAGATGGTATCTCATTGTGGTTTTTATTTGCATTTCTCTAATGGCCAGTGATGATGAGCATTTTTTAATATGTCTGTTGGCTACATAAATGTCTTCTTTTGAGAAATATCTGTTCATATCTTTTGCCCACATTTTGATGGGGTTTTTTGATTTTTTTCTTGTAAATTTGTTTAAGTTCTTTGTAGATTCTGGATATTAGCCCTTTGCCAAATGGGTAGATTGTAAAAATTTTCTCCTATTCTGTAGGTTACCTATTCACTCTGATGGTAGTTTCTTTAGCTGTGCAGAAGCTCTTTAATTTAATTAGATCCCATTGTCTTTTTTGGCTTTTGTTGCCGTTGCTTTTGGTATTTAACTCATGAAGTCCTTACCCATGCCTATGTCCTGAATGGTATTGCCTAGGCTTTCTTCTAGGGTATTTATGGTTTTAGGTCTGATTTAAGTCTTTAATCCATGTTGAATTAATTTTTTTACAAGGTGTAAGGAAGGGATTCAATTTCAGCTTTCTACATATGGCTAGCCATTTTCCCAGCACCATTTGTTAAATAGGGAATCCTTTCTCCATTTCTTGTTTTTGTCAGGTTTGTCAAAGATCAGATGGCTGTAGATGTGTGGTATCATTTCTGAGGGCTCTATTCTGTTCCATTGGTCTATATCTCTGTTTTGGTACCAGCACCATGCTGCTTTGGTCACTGTGGCCTTGTAGTATAGTTTGAAGTCAGGTAGCGTGATGCCTCCAGCTTTTTTCTTTGGGCTTAGGATTGACTTGGCTATGAGGGCTCTTTCTTGGTTCCATATGAACTTTAAAGTAGATTTTTCCAATTTTGTGAAGACAATCATTGGTAGCTTGATGGACATGGCATTGAATCTGTAAATTACCTTGGGCAGTAAGGCCATTTTCACGATATTGATTCTTCCTACCCATGAGCATGGAATATTCTTCCATTTGTTTGTGTCCTCTTTTATTTCCTTGAGCAGTGGTTTGTAGTTCTCCTTGAAGAGGTCCTTCACATCCCTTGTAAGTTGGATTCCTAGGTATTTTATTCTCTTTGAAGCAACTGTGAATGGGAGTTCACTCATGATTTGGCTCTCTGTTTGTCTGTTATTGGTGTATAGGAATGCTTGTGATTTTTGCACATTGATTTCCTATCCTGAGACTTTGCTTATTAGCTTAAGGAGATTTGGGGCTGAGACAATGGGGTTTTCTAAATATACAATCATGTCATATGCAAACAGGGACAATTTGACTTCTTATTTTCCTAACTGAATACCTTTTATTTCTTTCTCCTGCCTGAGTGACCTGGCCAGAACTTCCAACACTATGTTGAATAGGAGTGGTGAGAGAGGGCATCCCTGTCTTGTGCAGGTTTTCAAAGGGAATTCTTCCAGTTTTTGTCCATTCAGTATGATACTGGCTGTGATTCTGTCATAAATAGCTGATTATTTTGAGATATGTCTCATCAATACCTAGTTTATTGAGAGTTTTTAGCATGAATTGTTGAATTTTGTCAAAGGCCTTTTCTGCATCTATTGAAATAATCATGTGGTTTTTGTCTTTGATTCTGTTTGTACGATGGATTACATTTATTGATTCTGTATGTTGAACCAGCCTTGCATCCCAGGGATGAAGCCAACTTGATCGTGGCTGATAAGCTTTTTGATGTGCTGTTGGATTCAGTTTGCCAGTATTTTATTGAGGATTTTTGCATTGATGTTCGTCAGGGATATTGGTCTAAAATTCTGGTTTTTTGCATGTCTCTGCCAGGCTTTGTTATCAGGATGATGCTAGCCTCATAAAATGAGTTAGGGAGGATTCCCTCTTTTTCTATTGATTGGAATAGTTTCAGAAGAAGTGGTACCAGTTCCTCTTTGTACTTCTGGTAGAATTCAGCTGTGAATCTGTCTGCTCCTGGACTTTTTTTGGTTGGTAGGCTATTAATTATTGCCTCAATTTCAGAGAATGTTATTGGCCCATTCAGGGATTCAACTTCTTCCTGGTTCAGTCTTGGGAGGGTATATGTGTCCAGGAATTTATCCATTTCTTCTAGATTTTCTAGTTTATTTGTGTAGAGGTGTTTATAGTATTCTCTGATGGTAGTTTGTATTTCTGTGGCATCAGTGGTGATATCCCTTTATCATTTTTTATTGTGTCTATTTGATTCTTCTCTCTTTTCTTCTTTGTTAGTCTTGCCAGTGGTTTATCAATTTTGTTGATCTTTTCAAAAAAACCAGCTCCTGGATACATAGATTTTTTGAAGAGTTTTTTTGCATCTCTATCTCCTTCAGTTTTGCTCTGATCTTAGTTACTTCTTACCTTCTGCTAGCTTTTGAATGTGTTTGCTCTTGCTTCTCTAGTGCTTTCAATTGTGATGGAAGGTTGTCAATTTTAGATCTTTCCTGCTTTCTCTTGTGGGCATTTAGTGCTATAAATTTCCCTTTACACAGTGCTTTAAATGTTTCTCAGAGATTCTGGCATGTTGTGTCTTTGTTCCCATTGGTTTCAAAGAACATCTTTATTTCTGCCTTCATTTTGTTATTTACCCAGTAGTCAATCAGGAGCAGGTTGTTCAGTTTCCATGTAGTTTTTCAGTTTTGAGTGTTTCTTAATCCTGAGTTCTAATTTGATTGCATTGTTGCCTGAGAGACAGTTTGTTATGATTTCTGTTCTTTTACATTTGCTGAGGAGTGCTTTACTTCCAACTATGTCATCAATTTTGGCATAAGTGAGATATGGTGCTGAGAAGAATGTATATTCTTTTGATTTGGGGTGGAGAGTTCTGTAAATGTCTATTAGGTCTGCTTGGCACAGAGCTGAGTTCAAGTCCTGGATATCTTTGTTAACTTTCTGTCTCATTGATCTGTCTAATGTTGACAGTGGGGTGTTAAATTTTCCCATTATTATTGTGTGGGAGTGTAAGTCTCTTTCTAGATCTCTAAGGACTTGCTTTATGAATCTGGGTGCTCCTGTATTGGGTGCTTATATGTTTAGGATAGTTAGCTCTTCTTGTTGAATTGATCCCTTTACCATTATGTAATATGGCCTTCTTTGTCTCTTTTGATCTTTGTTGGTTTAAAGTCTGTTTTATCAGAGACTAGGATTGCAACCCTTGCTTTTTTTTGTTTTCCATTTACTTGGTAGATCTTCCTCCATCCCTTTATTTGAGCCTATGTGTGCCTTTGCGTGTGACATGGTTCTCCTGAATACAGCACACTGATGGGTCTTGACTCTTTATCCAATTTGCCATTCTGTGTCTTTTAATTGGGGCATTTAGCCCCTTTACATTTAAGGTTAATATTGTTATGTGTGAATTTGCTCATATTATTATGATATTAGCTGGTTATTTTGCTCATTAGCTGATGCAGTTTCTTCCTAGCATTGGTGGTCTTTACAATATGTCATGTTTCTGCAGTGGCTGGTACTGATTGTTCCTTTCCATGTTTAGTGCTTCCTTCAGGAGCTCTTGTAAAGCATGCATGTTGGTGACAAAATCTCCCAGCATTTGCCTGTCTATAAAGGATTTTATTTCTCCTTCACTTATGAAGCTTAGTTTGGCTGGATATGAAATTCTGGGTTGAAAATTCTTTTCTTTAAGATGCTGAATATTGGCCCCCACTCTCTTCTGGCTTGTAGAGTTTCTGTTGAGATATCAGCTATTAGTCTGATGGGCTTTCCTTTGTGGGTAACCCGACCTTTCTCTCTGGCTGCCCTTAACATTTTTTCCTTCATTTGAACCTTGGTGAATCTGACAATTATGTGTTTAGTGGTTGCTCTTCTTGAGGAGTATCTTTGTGGCATTCTCTGTATTTCCTGAATTTGAATGTTGGCCTGCTTTGCCATGTTGGGGAAGTCCTCCTGGATAATATCCTGAAGAGTGTTTTCCAACTTGTTGCATTCTCCCCATCACTCTCAGGTACACCAATCAAATGTAGATTTGGTCTTTTCACATAGTCCCATATTTCTTGGAGGCTTTGTTCATTTCTTTTTACTCTTTTTTCTCTAAACTTCTGTTCTCACTTCATTTCATTCATTTGATCTTCAATCACTGGTACTCTTTCTTCCACTTGATCAAATCAGCTACTGAAGCTTATGCATGTGTCACATAGTTCTAGTGCCATGGTTTTCAGCTCCACCAGGTCATTTAAGGTCTTCTCTATGCTGTTTATTGTAGTTAGCCATTCTTCTAATCTTTTTTCAAGATTTTTGGCTTCTTTGCAATGGGATCAAACTTTCTCCTTTAGCTCGGAAAAGTTTGTTATTACCGATCTTCTAAAGCCCACTTCTGTCAACTCATTAAAGTCATTCTCCATCCAGGTTTCTTCCGTTGCTGGTGAGGAGCTGTGATTCTTTGGAGGAGAAGAGGTGGTCTGGTTTTTAGAATTTTCAGCTTTTCTGTTCTGGTTTCTCCTTATCTGTGTGGTTTTTTCTACCTTTGGTCTTTGATGATGGTGACCTACATATGGGGTTTTGGTTTGGATGTCCTTTTTGTTGATGTTGATGCTATTCCCTTCTGTTTGTTAGTTTTTCTTCTAACTAGGACCCTCCTCAGGACCCTCAGCTGCAGGTCTGTTGGACTTTGCTGGAGTTCCGCTCCAGACCGTTTGCCTGGGTATCACCAGTAGAGGCTGCAGAACAGCAAATATTGCAGAACAGCAAGCATTGCTGCCTGATCCTTCTTCTGGAAGCTTCATCTCAGAGGGGCACCTGGGTGTATGAGGTGTCAATTGGCCCCTACTGGGAGATGTCTCCCAGTTAGGCTACTCGGGGGTTTAGGATCCACTTGAGGAGGCAGTCTGTCCATTCTCAGATGTCAAACTCTATGCTGGGAGAACCACTGCTCTCTTCATAGCTGTCAGACAGGGATGTTTATGTCTGTGGAAGTTGTCTGCTGCCTTTTGTTCAGCTATGTCTGGCCCCAGAGGTGGAGTCTAGAGGCAGGAGGCCTTGTTGACCTGTGGTGGGCTCCACCCAGTTTGAGCTTCCTGGCCACTTTATTTACCTAGTCAAGCTTCAGCAATGGTGGACGCCCCTCCCCCAGCCTCACTGCTGCCTCACAGTTCAATCTTGGACTGCTGTGCTAGCAGTGAGCAAGGCTCCGTGGATGTGGGACCCACTGAGCTTGCATGGGATATAATCTCCTGGTGTGCTGTTTGCTAAGACCATTGGAAAAGCACAGAATTAGGGCAGGAGTCCCAATTTTCCAGGTACCATCTGTCATGGCTTCCCTTGGCTAGGAATGGGAATTCCCCAACCCTTTGTGCTTCCCAGGTGAGGTGATGCCCCACCCTGCTTCAACTCACTCTCCATGAGCTGCACACACTGTCCAACCAGTCCTAATGAGATGAACACAATACCTCAGTTGGAAATGCAGAAATCTCCTGTCTTCCTCATCACTTACACTGGGAGCTGCCAACCGGAGCTGTTCCTATTCTGCCATCTTGGAACGATCCTACACACTCCATTTCCAATGAAATTAAGAGAAAGGAAAATCTTCCAAATCCGAAATACACGTAAAGCTGTCAGAAAGATCTGAGAACTGGCAAAAGACATATAGAAAATGCCATTAGAAATGTCAAGGGGCTTGAGCATGGCAGATTTCCAAAGGTGGCAACTTTATTCTGACAATAAAGCCCAATGCTACTCTACTATAACTTTAGTGGGATATGCTGTGAGCAAGGCTGAGCTCAGAGAGAACTGAGTCTAAGCAGGGCTGAGAGCTTGGGGGTTACAGGAAGAGAGATGCCAGCAGCAGGTCTCAGAATTCACTATCAATTATTTACTTGTCGAAAATGAGGAGCCTACCTTGGAACAGAGCCCATGTTCTTTAACTGCAGTAGTCAGCAGGGGAATGGGGAAAACATGGCTGGAAGCAGAGATCCTTCTAGATGTTGTTTGCTTTGGGGAAACAGAGGAGTTCAACTGGCTCAGGGGAATACAGCAAAGTACCATATGTGAGAAGAATCTGTAGCAACAGAAGACAGAACTCATGATTACAATGTCTGGAAGCTACATTTTTCTCCCCAGCCAAAAAAATGTCCTGAAAAATGGTCTTCCAAGAAAATCCAACTTTCCCACCATAAGAAATACAAAAGAAACAACATAACACCGATAAAATATGAGTAAGTTTTTATAGAAGAAGACATAAAACACCCTCAGACACAAAGCAGATGGAAATTGCTGCAAACATTACACCATGAGTTTATATATATATGATTAATATATAATATTAAAATTTATCCACTATGAAGGAATAACAAAGCAGAAATATAAAACTAAGGGAAGAAATATTTTCATCTATTAGGTAAATGATGGCAGCTTAATTCTGAATTGTGCTACTGGAAAACATACAAAGCAAGCCCTGAAAGATAAAAGAGATAGTTAAAAACCTGAAGTACATACTTCCTAAACATAAAGAATGAGAAAACTCACAAATTCCAAATTACATGTGAGCATGGCAATTGGCAATTGAGACTATGATGATGCTACCTGTTGTTAGAAAAAAAAAAAAAGCCATGAAGCCATTGTGTCCAGAGTTGGTTCCTTCTGGTGGGTTCATGGTCTCGCTGACTTCAAGAATGGAGCTGCAGACCTTCATGGTGAGTGTTACAGCTCTTAAAGATGGCATGGACCTGAAGAGTGAGCAGCAACAAGATTTATTGTGAAGAGCAAAAGAACAAAGCTTCTGCAGTGTGGAAGGGGACCCAACCAGGTTGCCGCTGCTGGCTGGGGTGGCCAGCTTTTATTCCCTTATTTGTCCCTGCCCATGTCCTGCTGATTGGTCCATTTTACAGAGCACTGATTGGTCCATTTTACAGTGTGCTGATTCGTCCATTTTACCAACCTCTAGCTAGCCACAGAGCACTGATTGGTGCATTTTTACAGAGTGCTGATTGGTGCATTTTACAATCCTCTTGTAAGACAGAAAAGTTCTCCAAGTCCCCACCTGACCCAGAAGTCCAGCTGGCTTCACCTCTCAATCCCCCCTCTAAACAAACAGGACACCCCAACTGCTGTTGGGAATTGGGCAATGATCACTCAAGCTACATCCTGCTGGATAGGGGTGAAGAAGGGGCCCTGCAGTGGTAGTGTCTTCCAGAAGGGAATTCTCTAGGCCAGCCAAAGGGTCAGTGGGTTGGTCCAGGGGTCCTCCATAGAAGTTGTAGTTGAGCTCACTTGGGGTTCCATTTGTAACACCATCTGTAACTTGATGGCATCAATCCTGGAGGAAACAAATTTGACAAGGAGGTTAAAAACACAAGGCCCAAGTGTGAGATGAGTAATAGCAAGATGGCTGTCACAGGACCTAGAAAGGGGAGAAGCCATGTCTCCCAACTCCAGAGGTTGGCATAAGAGTTTGAAAGACATTGTCTGATTTCAGAAGCCTTTTCCTGTAAACGGCCGGTGGCATCTCATACTGTCCCTGACTGGTTAGTGTAAAAGAAACACTCCACCCCTAAGAAGGTGCAGAGTCCTCCTTTCTCAGCAGTGAGGAGGTCTAGGCCTCAGCAGTTCTGGAGAGTCACTGCTGCCAAAGAGTCTATTTGGGATTGTAGAGTAAGGATAGGTTTTGTTATTTCTTGTAAACTGTCTGAGAAATCTTTTGAGAGTGTGTGGTAGTAGGATAGTGAAGTAGATAAACTGGCTATTCTGGTTCCTATAGCAGTGGCATTCCTAACCCTATAAGTAGAGGTGTTAGACGTATGGCCCTGTGCTGATGGACTTGAGCTTTGAGTGGAAATGATAGGGTCTGATTTCCTGGGGCAATGTTAATGTTGGGACTCAGGAAGACTGAGGTGCAGGTGCCTGTCCAGTTGGTGGAGAGGCAGATATAGGTTGAAATTACACATAAGAAGAATATGCCTTGGCTGGGTAGACAGAACTGGTTGTGTATGTTAACAAGGTGTGTGAGTTTGTTGTTTTCATTTTCTCATACTCCTAGAGTACTTGCCAAGGTAGCTCCAGTGAGCAGCTGGAAAGGGGTGTTGGGAGCAAACTGAGTGGCTCCCTGTGTTCTATTTTCCCATTGGAGAAAAAACCTTTTTGTATCTACTAGGAACCATTTGAGAGAGTGATTGAAAGAGGGGATGAGAAGGCATTCAGTAGTGGTGGGGGTGCTGCTGCAGGAGGTCTGGGGGTGAATGGTCATGCAGGGAGTATGTTTGCCATTACAAAACCTGGACTGTTTGTTAAGCAGGGAGGAGGTGATGATTTTTGGTGGCCCTGAGAAGTCTTTTGAATGGAGCTGTTTGGGTGACTTGGAAGTTGCTATGATCAGTTAGGGCTTGAAGTTGTAGGGTGTAATTACACTGATGGGATAGTAGGTGCCCCAGGGGCAGGCCTAATAACAGGCTGTATTGGATGCATAAAGGAGCTTGGAAAGTTAAGATGGTATTCATGGTTACAGGGCCATGTATGGGCTTTTCATTGCTTGTGTAATAGGTGAGGTTGGAAATGTAAGAACGTAAAAGTTGGATTGCACATCCTATTAGGGTATTCTTGGTCCTATCAGAGACGGGGAAGTCAGCTAATGATTGCATATTTAGAAGTTGGAAGGGTCTTTTCCCTCATAACAAGGGTGGTAGGTTAAATTAGTAAAGACCCAGTTTTTTGCAGGAACAGGAATGGCAACGTAAGCAGTGGTTGATAGAGAGATACAAAGCCAACAGTCATTTGCCAGGGAAGGATTGGACTGGTTTAACAGAGAGTGGGTTGAAAGTCTTGTAGAGATAATTAGGAGCTAGTGGAAGGGGAGGGGCAACTGTCTGGGGCATCCAAGGAAGTGGGAGGGATAGATAGGCAAAGAGTAAGTAGGAAGGTAAAGAGGGCGACCTGGAACATGAGATCATTTTATCCAGTCTGAGTTAAAGGTAGGAGTAAATTGCTGTCAGAAGAAAGGATGATAGAAAGAAGGTTGATGTGACTAGGATTTTAATCCCAGCAGGAGCTACAGTATATAGTCCTATTGCAAAGAGCATGGTTAGTATGCTGCTTATTAATATGATGAAACAGTAAAAGGATTCCATTAAAGGAGCAGGGAGAGATGTTAAAGATTATGTAGGTTTTCACTTATCTTTTTTAAGGTGGAAGGGGTTTTTCCTCAGGATCAGTGGTAGAAGCCTTTTTAGTCTGGGATGTTTCCTTCTGAAATAGGAGATGCAAGTCCTCCAATGGTTCACAGGTGTATCGAGGCTGGTCTGGCTGATCTTGGGACCCCTGAGCTGTTGATCCCGCAGTTTCCTCAGGGGGTGTCCAAACTTTAACTTGGGTGTGGTGAATCCAAGATTACACTCCTGCCACCTTAACTGCAGTGGGGGTAGAGAGGATTACTGAGTATGGTCCTTCCCACAAAGAATCCATAGATGGGGCAGCAGAGGGGAGGGATTTGACCAATACTAGATCTCCCAGTTGAAACAACTCCATTCCCTCTTCTCTGTGACATCCTTCAGGTAAGTTTTTGAGGTTTCATTGATATTTTGCCAAAGAAGTTATATCTTTGACCAAGTTGGCCATTTCCTGATCAAGTAGGAGGTCGTTTATGAGAAAAGGTCGTCTATACAGCATTTCATTGGACTGAGCCCCATTTTTTGAGGAGAATTTTGTATTCTCAACAAGGCCATGGGCAAGACAGTAGGCCATGTGAGATGAGTTTCTTGTGTTAATTTCCTTAAGTGCCTCTTGAGTGTGTTTCATTTGCCTTCTCACCCTTCCCTGAGGATTATGGCCTCCAGGCGCAGTGAAGGTGATATTGTATCCCTAGTGCCCTGGAAATTCCCTGCGTTATTGTGGCTTTACAAGCCAGACCACTGTCACTTTGTAAGCTTTGAGGAAGCCCAAATCTAGGAATTATTTCATGAATTAGGACTTTAACCACTTCCTGAGCCTTCTCTGTCTTGCAGGGGAAGGCTTCTATCCAAGTTGTAAAGGTATCAACACAGACCAACAAGTATTAAAATCCCTTTGACTTAGGCATACGGGTGAAGTCTAACTGCCAGTCCTCTCTGGGATAGTGACCTATTCCTTGTTCCCCCAGAGGGGCCTTATGATGGACCAAGGGATTATTCCTTTGGCACATCTCACAGGCTTTGACTACTTTGTTGGATGGTCCAGAGGAGATTTGGTGCTGAAAACAGGGATTTGGCCATTTGACGAGTGTTCTCAAGACCCATGTGAAAAGTTTGGTGGAGGGTTTTAAGTATTTTCCACTGGCTGGCTTCAGGTATGAGTACCTTTCCCTCTTCCATCATTAACCACCCCGAGGGGAGAAAACTATGCCCTCATGAAAGTCCCCATTCTGTTTCAGTCAGGGAATACTGGGGCTTCATCTCTTGGAGAGGGTTGTTCCATACCAAGGGTCCTCCCATGGGAATTTCTAATGGAAGGTTCCATCTGGCACCAAATTTGGCCTCAGTGTTTGCCCAACAGTTTCCTTCTGCCTTTTCTCCTTTACTTTTTTGATGGCTTTGGCAGTGTAAGACTGCCACCTCCTTGGGTTTTTGCCCTGCATGCAATAACTCCATGATTTCCTTGTGGTATTTAATGGGGGTTCCCCCAGAGGTTAGGAACTCCCTTTCTTTCCACATTGCAGCATAGGTATATAGGATTACATAAGCATACTTGCTATCTGTATACACATTTATTCTCTTTCCCTTTCCCAGTTCTAAGGTTTGGGTAAGTGCCACTAGTTCTGCTAACTGAGCTCTGGTCCCTGGGAAAAGAGGCTTACTTTCAATTACTGTTACATCACTAACTATGACATAACCTGCCCTACATATCCCATTCTGCACAAATGAACTTCCATCAGTATATAGGTTAAGGTCAGCATTAGCGAAGGGGACTTCTAAGAGATCCTCTCAGGTGGCATAAGTCTGGACTATAATTTGTTGGCAGTCATGCTTGATTGGTTCCCCATCCTGTGGGAGAAAAGTGGCAGGGTTGAGGGCTGCACATATGCATATTTGAAGCACCAGTCCCTCAAGGAGTAGTGCCTGGTATCTGAGCAGGCAGTTGTCTGATAGCCATAAACTTCCTTTGACACCTAGTATGCCATTTACATCATGTGTAGTCCAGACGGTGAGATCCTTTCCTTGTATTATTTTGATAGCCTCTGATACTAAGATGTCCACCACCACAACTACCTGTAAACAGTGAGGCCAGCTTTTTGCTACTACATCAATTTCCTTACTTAAGTATGCCACTGGTTGTGGGGTTGTCCCATGAGTCTGAGTAAGGACTCCACAAGCTATTCCTGCTCTCTCTGTGATGTATAAAGAGAAGTATTGTCCTGTAGGAAGGCTTAAAGCTGGAGCTTGTACTAGGGTCTTCTTTAAGGTCTTGAAGGCTGTTTCTGCCTCTGGTTCCCATTCTACTAGATGAGCATTTGCCCTATGGGTCTCCTTGATTAGAGTATGGACTGCCCTGGCCATCTCGCTGTATTCGGGGATCCATAGTCAGCAAAAGCCTGTGATTCCAAGGAACCTCAACAACTGTTTTAATGTCTTAGAGTGAGAATAAGCCAGTATAGGCTGTATTCATTCCTTGTTGGTGGCCCTTGTTCCTCTGGCTAAGATTAGGCCTAGATATTTGACTTGTCGTAGGCAGAGTTGTGCCTTCAATTTAGACACCTTGTACTCTTGATTAGCTAGAAAATTTAAGAGATCTAGGCTAGCCTGCTGGTATGAGGCTTCCAAACTGGTAGCCAAAAGTAAATCATTTATATACTGAAGGACTAGAGTGCCTGGACTTCAGAAGTGGCCTAAATCTTGGGCCAGTACCTGACCAAACAGATGAGGGCTATCCCTAAACCCTTGGGGCAAGACTGTCCATGTAAGTTGGGACATGTGGTCTGTGGGATCCTCAAAGGCAAAGAGAAACTGAAAGTCAGAGTGCAGGGGAATACAGAAGAAGGCATCCTTGAGGTCCAGAACCATGAACCATTCTGCTTCCTCTGGTATTTCAGGGAGCAGAGTATAGGGGTTAGGTATAACTGGATATAGAGGAATTACTGTCTCATTGAAGAGTCTAAGATCTTGCACTAGTCAACTGACCGTTCAGTTTTTGTACCCTAGAATTGGGGTGTTGCAGGGACTGCTGCATTTTCTTACTAAGCCTTGAGCTTTTAAATGTCTAACAATACCCTGTAATCCTTTATGAGCTTCAGGCTTTAAGGGATATTGCCTTTGATAAGGAAAAGTGGTGGGGTCTTTTATTCTGATTTGGACTGGGTGGACACTTTTTTTCCCTTCTGAATTGTCCTTCCAGTGCCCAGACTTCAGGGTTGATTCCCTCCTCAAGCAGGAGACAACAAATGGGTAACTTGTTCCCCATATTCATGCAGATAATAGCTCCAGCTTTGGCTAATATGTCCCTCCCTAATAAGGGTGTGGGACTTTCAAGCATAACAAGAAAGGCATGTGAAAAGAGCAAAGTCTCCCAGTTACAACTAAGGAGGTGGGAGAAATACCTGGTTACAGGCTGTCCCAGGATTCCGTGGATGGTAATGGACCTACAGGACAGCTGTCAGGAACAGGAGACTAACACTGAGAAAGCCATGCCAGTGTCCAGGAAGAAGTCAATTTCCTGGCCCTCATTGGTTAAATGTACCAGGGCTCAGTGAGGGTGAGGACATGAGTTGGTGCTTGCCCCAGGCACCCTCAGTTCTGTTGTTGGATCATCTGGTTGGGGCTTCTGGCCCAGAGAACCTTTGACCTCTGGGGCAGTGTGCCTTCCAGTGATTGCCTCGGTATAGTGGACATGGATGAGGGGTCAGCTTGCTTATCATTGGACAATCTTTTTTAAAGTGTCATTGCAAACCACACTGATAACAAGCCCCACCAGGTGGTTGGCCTGCTCCATTCTCTGTCCTCTTTGAGCCACCAAGGTTTGTTTGTCTGAGGACCATGAATAAGGCTGCAGCCTTTCTCTGATATTGTTTTCTTTTTGGCCTATTCTTCTTGGTCCCTACTATAGAACACTGAGGTTGCCAGGTTTAATAATGCCTCCAGATTTTGTTCATGGCCCAGGACTCACTTTTGGAGCTTTCTCCTGATATCTGTGGCTGACTGGGTAATAAACTTACCTTTTAGGATCAATTGACCTTTGAGGGAGTCAGGTGTCAGGGGAGTATATTTTCTTAGGGCCCCCCATAGCTGCTCAAGGAAGGCGGAAAGATTTTCTTCCTTTCCCTGAGTTATGGTGGACATCATTGACTAATTCATGGGCTTTTTCATAATTCTCCTTAGTCCTTCTAGAACAAAAGTCAACATATGTTTATGACTCTAGTCCCCATGATCCGAGTCTAGGTCCCAGTGGGGATTCATACTGCAGATGGCTTGCTGACTGGTAGGGAATTTGTCCCTTTCTTTGGCTGTAATTCTATCATTTACTTGACTAAGATATCAAATATCTCCAAGCTCTCAGGCTGCAGCTAAAGTCACATTCTTTTCATTAAAGGCCAGGGTTTGATCTAACAATATCATGACATCTCTCCAAATGAGGTCAAAGGTTTGCCCTAGACCCTGTAGGATATCTATGTACCTATCAGGATCATCTGAAAACTTCCCCAGGTCTGCCTTGATCTGCTTTAAATCAGAGAGGGAGAAGGGGACATGTACCTGGGTTGGGCCAAATTCCCCTCCCCCTACAGCTTGAAGGGGACATAACCAATAGCCCAGGGGTTTTTGTGGTCCCTTGGAGATTTATTTGCTTGTTTCCTTCTGGGTGGGGAGACTAGAGGAGCCTTATCATTAATAGGAAGGGGATCTGTAAGGAGGCTAGGATATGGAGGTAAGTTGAGAGTTCCTCCTGTGGGATGTAAATTGCAAGTTTGCATAGTTGTGGATTATCCTTCAATAAAAGAAAGCTTGGACATGAGGTATTTCACTCCATTTGCCTTCCCACTTACAGAAAAGGTTAAGCTGCAGGATAGTATTGTAATTTATACTTCCCTCAGGCGACCATTTTTTCACATCAGAGAGAATATTGGGGCCAGGACGTAGTGCAGAGAAAAATGAGCCATATCTTTTTCAGAGTTTGTGGGTCAAATTGGTCCCAATGGCTTAGGATGCATTTCAAGGGTGAGCCTGTTGATGCCTGAGTGTTTCCCATCTGAAAGAAAAAACTGCCCACCATTTTGGTTTGTTTGTCTCCCCCTCACTGGCCCTAGAACCCACAATGGTCCCTGGACCCTGCTATTCAGAATAGTTGTGCTCACTGAAGCAGCAGCAGAAACACTGGTTTTCCTCGTAGACCACAAAGAGGACCAAGGAAGGTGGGATTTAGTGGCCCTTACCGACACATTCTCAAAAATCTGCACCCTTGCCTTTCCTCTCAGACCACAAAGAGGACCAAGAAAAATCAGATTTAGTGGTCCTTACCAACACATTCTCAAAAACCTATTAGAGTCCCAAGCATTTTCTCCTGTTAGTATTGGGACCTTACCTCTGTCCTATAAAGATGATATGCCCCAAAAATGGAGTGGAGGGCCACACCCTAAGGGAGGGAAGGGATCTCCAGGATCCCTTCAGGATTCCAAGGGATCTTCCCTTGGAAGAGTGACACCTTTTGTCCTCACTTCTCATCACATGAATAGGAAGGATATCATTTCTGAGGCTCCCCATATCCTAGCTTCAGAAATAGCCTTTGTTAGGCCTGCTAGTCTGAGGAGGGATCCTAAAATTCCAGATAGTCTCCCCCAACTCCCAGTGGGGCTTTGGGCAAAAACTAAGTCTTTCTGATTGGTGAGCCTGGGTGCCTAAAGAAAGGAATAGAGTCCCAAAATTTATACTAGAAATCATTCTTATAGGAGAAACTAGAAAAGCACCAGAGACAGGGAGTGGTTTTTAGAAGCGGGACTAGCCTCGGAAAAGAGAGGCAGGAGGAAATTTGTCTGAAAAGCATTAGGACCCAGGAGGCAAGGGTCAAGTTAGATAGGATAGATGGGCAAGTCTTGCTTAGATGACTTGACTTTGAGAGCTCTGCTCATGGCTATAGGGTCAACCAACATTTTATCAGGACCCTGGAGCTGAATGGCTTTCCTTTCTGTTGACACTCAGTTCAGCCCAGAAGTACAGGAAAAGTTTAAGCTGTTTCCAGGCAAACCAATGCTACCAACTCCGAAGAGTCAGGAATAGTTAGAGAGCTCTTTCCCAGAAAGCCTGACACCCATGTCTTTAGTCCTGCAGCCATGCTAGTCATTTTTAGCCGGCTGATAGGTGCCCGGTGTTTAGCCCCCAAATTCTGAGGAAAAATAGGAGAAAATAGCAAGCAAAATGGGTCCAATTGTACTCACCACTTGGAAATATTCCAGATGAGCCCCCAAGATGTGTCTGGAGTTGGTTCCTTCTGGTGGGTTCGTGGTCTCACTGACTTCAAGAATGGAGCCATGGACCTTTGCAGTGAGTGTTACAGCTCTTAAAGATGGCATGGACCTGAAGAGTGAGCAGCAGCAAGATTTATTGTGAAGAGCTAAAGAACAAAGCTTCCATAGTGTGGAAGGGGACAAGAGGGTTGCCACTGCTGGCTGGGGTGGCCAGCTTTTATTCCCTTATTTGTCCCTGCCCATGTCCTGCTGATTGGTTCATTTTACAGAGCACTTATTCGTCCAATTTACAGTGTGCTGATTGGTCTATTTTACAAACCTCTAGCCACAGAGCACTGATTGGTGCATTTTTACAGAGTGCTGATTAGTGCATTTTATAATCCTCTTGTAAGACAGAAAAGTTCTCCAAGTCCCCACCCAACCCAGAAGTCCAGCTAGCTTCACCTCTCAGCATCTGGTGGTCTGCTGGTGGCAGATCCTGTACGTGCCCTAAATACAAAAAGGAAGGACTCTGTGCAGGCTGTCTTGAATAGGGATTGCCTAAGCACTGGGAGAAGCAGAGTTTGCAGACAGGAAAGGAGCAGGAGGGCAGAGGTGGAAGATCTAGGAAGCATCAGCAAGATAAACCTTTGAAATATTAGTGTATCATTGTGGAAAACAAGACCCATCTCCTTGGTGAAAAAACCAGGAAAGTCCAGGGATGAAGGCAGAAGTCATCCAGAACCATGTTTATGGTTCCCAGAAATGCTGGGGAAATAATTTTATTTTAAAAAGGAAATTCAGGCCAGGCGCAGTGGCTCCCACCTGGAATCCCAGCACTTTGGGAGGCTGAAGCGGGCAGATCACGAGGTCAGGAGATCGAGACCATCCTGGCTAACACGGTGAAACCCCGTCTCTACTAAACAAAATACAAAAAATTAGCCAGGCGTGGTGGTGGGTGCCTGTAGTCCCAGCTACTTGGGAGGCTGAGGCAGGGGAATGGCATGAACCTAGGAGGTGGAGCTTGCAGTGAGCCAAGATCTTGCCACTGTACTCCAGCCTGGTGACAGAGTGAGACTCCGTCTAAAAAAAAAAAAAAAAAAAAAAAAAAAGGAAATTCAGTGTAGCCCTCTTTATAAGACAGTTAAACTAAAATCAGCTAATTACATTTTCCAAAATGACACACTTTGACCTTTGAGATGCTCTGAGAGTCTCCTCTGAGAATCAGAGAAGATATGTTAACTAGGAAGCCATCCATCAGTGTGGAAGGATGGATTGCTAGAAATTTACTCTGGCCTGATCTTACATGCTGAGGTGAACTCTGGCAAGGCTGAGTATCCCTAATCTGAAAATCTGAAATCTGAAGTGCTCCAAAATCCAACACTTTTTGAGAGCTGACATGATGCTCAAAGAAAATGTTTATTAGAGCATTTCAGTTTTATTTTTATTTTTTGGATTAGTGAAGTTCAACTGTTGTAACTGCAAATATTGCAAAATCCAAAAAGAAAGCTAAAATTCAAAACACTTCTGATCCCAAGCATTTTGCATAAGGGATACTTAACCTTAGTCCCAGAAAATCCAACTCATTCCAATATGAGTGACAACAAAAGGAATAAACAAGCATCAATAAAAGTTACAATACAAAATTTTCTATAAATGAGGAAGACTCACCAAAAAAAAAAAAAAAAAATCACAAAGCAGATGAACACTGTAGCCCTCTTAATGAAAGATCAAAGCATGAAGGAAGGTTATAGGACAGAAATAAAAGAATTTGGAGAAAAGATGCTCAAAGACCAGGGATGATCTCTATTAAAAAAACATGATAAAATAGGAAATGGCACAATTTCAGAAAAATAGACACCAAAATCACTTCAGAAATGAAGAAAAATTATAAGGAACTCAATGGGGAATAGATCCTATGAGAGTCCAGTAAGAAATTTGTGAAAAAAAAAATTGATAAAGAACAAAATAAAATGAAAATGAAGTCAGAGAAAGAAGGAAAAAATTGGGAGAAAATAAAAAATATAGATCATAGATATATACAATCCAAACTAGCATAAGTACAGAGTCCTGAAAAGAAAAACAATGAATCTGAA
This sequence comes from Homo sapiens, assembly GCF_000001405.40. Classification (NCBI taxonomy): domain Eukaryota; kingdom Metazoa; phylum Chordata; class Mammalia; order Primates; family Hominidae; genus Homo; species Homo sapiens. Next base: position 63,088,371 of record NC_000006.12, read on the forward strand.
ATTTTAAAAAAATTCAAGAAAAAAATTATGAAATTAAAACAAAAAAGGCTTGGTTCTTCATATTGCAATGACTCATTATCTGTAGAGGAAAATTAACCTAAATGTCAACACTAATACATACGCTACAAAGGTAATAAATTTTAAAGATAAAGAAATAATGCATATGTCAGATACTTAAAGAGATCAAGTCACTTAAGAAGAAAATCAGTTTGGCATGAGGCTTTCACAAGAACATTCAATACTGGAGGACATTGAAGCTACACACTGACTATTCAAGAAAACGAAGTATTATCCAACCTGCCCTTTAAGTAGAACAGCTGTAAACAGTTGTGAACAGTAAGAGTTAGAAAACATTGTTTACAAGAGTCTTGAGGAAACTAGTACAAGATGAACTTTAGCCAAGCAAGAGATGACTAATAAAAACTTAGCAAAAAGATTTATGATTAATACCTTCAGAAAGTTTTATAATTAAACAGTAAAATACTCTGGTGGAAGAAACATCTGTGAATAAATGAGAATTAGCTGATATTCTTCTGTTTTATGCCTTTGCATATAATAAGAGTGGGGAGCAAGTACATAACAACGTAACACCTGTTAGGGAGGGGTCAGAAGTTCTACTACTAACCAGCTATGAAATGTTGCTGACATACTCACTATCCTAAGCTTTGGAATTTTTATCTTATGTGTGAACAAATTTAGAATCTGATATGCCAGAGTAATTAAAATTAAAGGTCGAATGCTTAGCTTTGGGACAAGAAAGACCATATATAGTGAAACAACAAATGGACCAGAAAACTACAAACTATAGTACTTGTCCCATCTACAAGACTCAGAAGTCAAATGTTGATCACTTTCTTTGTCTCTGTTTTCTCATTGTAAATTGTGAAGAAATTGACAATAACATGGTCTTATTTTTATGCTTTTCTTTGTATATTATTTTGTTATTGTTACCACAAAGACTGAAATAACAAACTTTTGTTTACTCATTCAATATTTATTTAGCACGTACTATATGTCATGAACAGTTCTAGTGAATAATCAAAGACAAAATCTCTACTCTTATAAACCTTATATTTTAGTTAGGGCTAGGGAAAAGAAAATAAGCCATAAGCATTATAAACAAATAAATTCCATAGTGTGTTACAAGACAGTAAGTATTACAGAAACAAATGAAGCAGATTAAGAAGGGCAAGGAATGTTGGGGGAATAATTTTGTTTTTAAAAGGAAATTTAGTGTAGGCCTCATTATAAGACAGTTAAACAAAAATTAGTTAATCACATTTCCAAAAATGAAGACACTTTGACCTTTGAGATGTTCTAGAAAAATTTTCAAATTATGTCTCCTTTATGAAAAATTAGACTATTGATTTGACGTTGTATTTTCTCTGTCAGAATTAACCCACGATTTTCGCCAAGTCTCTTATTTTACTATGCCAATACATTGACTCTGATTTTAAGTATATTTGTTTCTTTTATATTTTCTACTTAGATAAATTTTGTTATTCTTTTTCTAACTTCCTGTGCTAAAACTTCTCTTGCTTTCTTTTTCATTTTTTCCGTTTAATAGCAGCTTATAAAACTGTAAATTTCATTTGAGTAGTTTTTATCATATCTCATACATTTTTATAAAGAATGTACTAATTATTTTTTTATAATTGTAATTTAATTTTTTTATTATACCCAAGAGTTATTTAGGATAGAGCTTTTCTTTTAATTTCCAAGACTTTGTGTTTACTTTAGTTATTAATTTCTGGTTTGTTACATTGTGGTCAGCAAAAAGATATTTGGATTATTTTGTATTTTGTTTCTATTAAACTTTTCTTCATCATCTCATATGTAGTAAATTTCAGTAAGTTATATCTAGAAACTTGAAAATGAAACATATTCCTGTCAGTACAAAACAGATTTTTATGTGTGGATATATGACTACTGTTCGTATGACTATGTTTTTGTGAATTTTTGCATGTCTCCAATAGTTGGTGTGATATTTATTTAAATAATGAGTTTGTCTCAATGTAGGTTCTGTTTTTGACTAGTATAAAGACAATCCTTTGCATGTGAATAAAAAATAATTTAGCACAGAAGTGGAAGACAACAAGTCGATATGAAATCTGAGTTGGCAGAACTCACACTCATACACACACACACACACACAAATAGACCAAAAACACACAAACACATAAGAGAAATAACAACATTGGAAGGAGTAAAAAGAGGCTAAACACTGGAAAAGATAATAAAGGATAATGAGAGGGAAATTTTTAATGGAATTTTTAAAAATTTCTAAAGTAAATATATACTGTTAAACAAGCATCAACATTGACATAATTAAAATTCCCTAAGGAAAGTAAAATCAGCTATACGTACATGAAAGCCACTATCAGATTAGGTATTCATGCATTCCGATTTAACAAAGAAAACCCTGGGTTACACCTGTTTTTCTAGTGTCCTGTGCAGTTATTGTTCTATTCCCTATAAATAGTGTATTTTTCTTGAAGACATATTACCAAGTCACCCTAAGAATGAAGGGAAAAGTCACCTTGGCTTCAGATTTCTACATAGCAACATTCATTATTAGAAGATGGTTGAGCAACATTTACAAGGTACCCAAGTTATAAAGTTTGACGTTTACATCCAGCCAAATTTTACCTCTGTTATAAACACTGCAACTAAACGTTTGAATGCATACTAACTCTGGTAATTTGGCACTCATGAGATTTTCTTGAAAAAATTACTAAATATCTAACATTAGCCAATTAAATATGACTAGAGAAATTCACAAAAAAGACTAGGAATAAGGATTTAAAATATTTAACTGCAGAAGACCAAAAAAGGGTAGGACAAAGGTGGTGACAAATTATAATATAACTTTTTACATGGAAAGAATATGGTTCTTAACACTTTAGAAGCAGAAGGGAAAAAGATAGGACAGAATAAGTTTGCAGTTTGCATTTCAAGAACTAGAGGCAACAAAATATCATTAAAAATAAACAAGTAATAAGAGTTTTAGCAAATTGATAAATAAATCAAGGAATAAGAGTATTAGCATATTTAAGAGAAAAAGTATATTTAAGGAAATGCATACTGTTGATTAAAATTGAATCATGAAGAAGAGGAGTGGAGAGGTAGAGAACAATAGAAAACTTTCTAACTATAATAAGAAACACGAGAACACATGGACACATGGAGGGGAATAACACACACTGGGGGCTGTTTTGGGGTGGAGGGCTGGGGGAGGAAGAGCATCAGGAAGAATAGCTAATGGATGCTGGGCTTAATACCTGGGTGATGGGTTGATCTGTGCAGCAAACCACCATGGCACACATTTACCCATGTAACAAACCTGCACATCTTGTACATGTACCCTGGAACTTAAAATAAAAGTTGAAGAAAAACAAAATCACAAAAACGAACAATAAATAAAAACCAACCATGAAGAAAAAAAAAACTTTACAAGCCATCTAAAAAGAAAACATCACATATGACAAAATTAAAACCCATATATGTCATAGCATTAAATATAAATGAGTTTGACCTATTAAAGAAAGAAATGTTCTGCTTAGATTATAATGCAAACACCAACTTTGGATATTTACAAGAGACACATGCAAAATAAAATGATTTTCTAAGTCTGAAAATAAAAGAAGTGTCAACTGTAAACTAAAAAATAATATCAATATCACAAGCTCAACATAAAATTACATGGATTTCGACCTCAAATTATTAAAGGAGACCAAAAGGGCACTTTGTAACGCTAAAAGTTGCAACTCATAATGAATATATTACAGTTATAAATATACAATTATGTATTGAATAAGCAAAAATTATATGTCAGAAATGATAGGAGAGACAGTAGCAGTAAGATTTTAATTTACTCTTCATTATATTACATATGAAATTAGAGAAAAATAAACATAGAATATGAATAATGTAATTACTAAGATTACTCTGATGTATATAAGTTTTGGTGGCAGAAAATAGGGAATACATCATTTTTTTTTTCAAATACCCATAGAACAGTAACATTCAATGACCACTGAGAAGGTGAGAAGACTATAGAATATGATCAATAAGGTATGTCTGATTGATATGTACAAATTCTGGGCAGAGGAAAAAAAAATCAGTCCGTGCTTATACAATTTAACATATATAATTCTTGAATTGAATAAGATATGACCAGACATGCCAAGATACAGAACCAAATAATTTAAAAACAAAAGGAAAAAATGACACAGAGACAGACCCAACAGTGGTTCAAGTATTGAAATTATTAGACATTAACTTTAAATAACTATGCTTAATATATTTGAGTATATATGAAAAGTGAAGAATTTTAGCATAGAATTAGAATATATGGAGAAAATTTAATTAACATTATAGAAATTTAAAACACAGTAACTAAATAAGCATTTAATAGATGAATTTAAAGCCAAATGAGACATAGCAGAAACTATGACTAATATAGCTAAAACATGGAAAATACATAAAAGATATATAATGAATGGAGAGTTTTTGGAGCCCCAGAAACTTTGAAGACAGAAGGAATAAAGAAAACTAGCCATGCATTTTTCAAAACTGATGGGAGCCATCAAGTCAAAGTTTCAGGAAACTCTTCATACTTCAAGAGGGGAAAAATAAGAAGAAAAAAAAGTAGGGGAAGAAAGAAAAACAAAATCATACTCTAGCCACATTCTCTGAGCCATGGAATAGGTAGTGTCTGGGAGGGAGCCTGAGTGAAATGTCCGGGATGTTATTAATATTCTATATCTTAACCTAGGTGGTAGTTGTACAGGTATTATCACTGTGTAAAAATTCATATAGCTTAAGATGTGTGCATTTTACAGTATGTATGTTACACTTCAATTTAAAAGTTTAAAGAATAGTTCTAAATTTTTGTTTCTTATTTAGCAAGCTATCCCTCCCTTCACTATGTCCTGGCCATAATGGACTTTATAGAAGAAGGCAAGATAAACAACACATTGGGAAAAACAGAATGTAACATCAGATATGAACTGAACAGTAAAATCCTGTCTCTTCTTACCTGGCATATTTCACTTTAAAAGAAAGACAGGAGGAGTCACGAGTGGTTATAGTATTTGTTCCTGTTTTCACCCTTTGCTAGTAGAACTCCAAAGAGGAATGTCCAGAAAAATATATTAAACAAGGTTTAGAAAGCTCAAGACCATTGGCAAGATATTAGATGCTGCTAGAATTTTGTCCCTGGCATGTTTGGGCAGCTTAAACTCCCTGGGAAAATTCCCTCATATGATTAGTATTAACCTACTACAGGATAGTACTGCTGCTATAGCTTTGGAAGATGTACAGACCTGGAAGCAGCCCTCCAAGCTCCTCGTTACCTATGCAGTATGTGCAGGAGACCCATAAGTTTCCACAACCACCAATGAGAGATTGTGAGCACTGCAGGAGCACTTCAAGGAGAGCAATGAGAGACATCGTGGCATGACAAAGTGGCTTCTGTGTGTGAGATTTACTATTCAGGGTATACACTTTTGTAGGGCATCCAGTAGTCACTCCCCAAAGCCAGAAGTCATCAGTAGCATCAGTCATACTTCAGCTTGCACCAGCACAAAAAGCAGAACCAAATTAGCCACTCTTCAGCAGCAATTAGTGAGTGTAGAAGGGGTAAGCAATAATCTGAAGCTTCCTTCTGCCTTTCCTGCTTATGGACAAAACAATCCCTCTTAGATTTCTACACTCCAACATGCAAAGAGGGAGGGGGTCGGGATGAAACTGTAAGAGACTAAGCATTCATCTAAAAGGGCCTGAATAATCTTAAAAAGCAAAGTCAGCACCAATAAAGAATTTAATTTTGAATAGAATGAATATTTTAAATACTTATAAACCTTAGTAAAATATAAGGAAGTGACACTATATGAACTTACACGTGAGAAAAATCAGGTCACCATAGGAAATAAAGATGTATGTATTTTTGGCACATCAGAGCATAGGGCATCAATTTATGACAGTTAATGATCAATTTATGACATCGAAGAAACCAATTAAGTAGCAGATACCATTTTATACCTTCTAAACTAACAAAAATCTAAAAAATGATTATTCCAAATACTGGCAAAATTATGGTAAAATCATTGCACATATATACCGGTGATGGAATAAATTAGAACACAATTTGGAAAAAGAAAAGTTATATATTACAAGTAGATACATGACAATATGTCCTGAGGAAATATTTCATGAGAATCTACTGCAGTGTTATTTATGAAATAAAATGAATGAGAGCAATGTAAATGGCCAAAATGAACAAATAATTAAATAAATTCTGGTACCTCAACTCTATGAAATGTTAGCCATTAAAAATGTATAATTATTAAAAGCTGCATTGATATATAAAAAGTACTTAGTGGAAAAAGAAAATAGATAAAAATAAAGTTGTATATTGTACTAAAGCTCATAAGTATTTAAAAATTCTGTATTTTATTAAAGCCTAGAACAAAAATGGAAAAATAAAAATTGTTTAACCACAGAGGGTGAGAAGATACATTATAAATACAAAATAAGAGCCAGTCATAGTTATGAAAAATCAGACTGACTTCATGCCTGAGTCTCTCTCATTGGCTGCCCGCTCTCCAAGATCAGCAGCGCAGAGGCGTTATGAATCCAGGGCTTGATTCTTGGCTTCTCTACCCCACTAACCAGGGGACCTCAGGCAGTTTACTTAACCCCACTTTGCCCTAGTTTCCTCATCTATAAAACGGGATTATGGTAATACCTAACAGTGTGGTTGAGAAGCTTAGATAACTTCTTCTATTAAAGCACTTAGAAAATAATCTCAGCAATCCATTAGCATTCTGAGTTAACTGTTCTTGTTTTCCTTCGTTGGATGATATGAGCAATACATCACGGTTCCTAAACAAAGCATGTGGCAAATACTGAATCATTCTTGAACTGAATTAGCTTTATAATGTAATGAAAGAATGTGAGTGCATCTGTCTTTTTGTTTTGATTCCTTTTGTTTGTTTGCAGTATAGTTAACGTGTACAATCTTTTCTGTTGGTATTGAATGGGTAATTTTGGTAGCAGACAAATTGAGTTATTTAAATAAGAATGTTCTTCTTAGCAGTGTCTTAAAGGCAAAATAAATACTGAGTCCATGCAGCTGACTGATATTCAGACAAAATGTTTAAGTATCTATATTTCCCACTTTTCAACATATGTTGTAGTAGTTGTCATCATGCAAACAGACTTGGTATGTTTCACCTCAATTTGCATTAGCTACATTTGCCGAAGAGTTAGAATCAGTGGTCTCTGAATTTCCCACAGAAGCAATGAAGACCACAATCAGTTATTTCACGCTGGAACATAAAATTTTATAGGTTCTTTTACTCTCCAGTCATCCTATGTGTGTACAAAATTAACAGAGGAATATACTTAAAGTTTTATGCTTTTCTAAGTTATTTTTTATAACTTAATCTTTACAAGTAAAAAACAAATACCCAAGAGAATAATTATTTGAATGTAAAATAATCAAAATATATTCTAGTCTTTCTCTTCCCTCTAAATGTTCTTCTTTCTCTTCCCCTTATGTAACCATAACTCACCTCCACTTTTCCCTTGCTCTTTTGCCTTTTTTTCTATTTGTGTCCTCTTTTAGACTCTGAGCACAAGAATTGATATAAGTTGTCTGTCTATGTGGATTCTTCCATAGACAGTACATGAGATGGGACTCCATCAATAAAGGCTCAGTAACACAACACCCCACTCTCAGTAGCTTTAAACAAAAATGTATTTCTCATTCTCACTCCTTATCCATCTTGAGATAGCTGTGGCTCTGCACCATGTCCTCCTCATCCTGGGAACGAGGCTAAGACAGTCAACCATTGCCTGAAGTCAACACACCAGGAAGAAAGGCAGAAGCAAGTCACACACCAGCTCTTAAAACCTTCTTCCAGAATTGACCCATATGGGCCAGGCATGGTGGATCACACTTGTAATCTCAGCACTTTGGGAGGCCAAGGTGGGAGAATCACTTGAGGCCAGGAGTTTAAGACCAGCCTGGGCAACATATCAAGACTGTCTCTATAAAAAATAAAAACAAAAATAAATTAGATGGGCATGGTGATGCATGCCTGTAGTCCCAGCTACTCAGGAGGCTGAGGCAGAAAGATTGCTTAAGTCCAGGAGTTCTTGGTTTCAGTGGGCTATGATTACACCATTATACTCCAGTCTTACAAAAGAGCAAGACCCTGTTTCTTTCTAAAAAGAGAAAAGAAAGAGAGAGAGAGAAAGAGAAGTGACCCATATAACTTCTTATGCTTCATTGACCAAAGCAAGTCACAAGGCCACAATTAATTTCAAAGAGCTGGAGACTGCCATTCCACTGATCTCAGAAACCAGAAAGGCAAATATTTTTTAGACAGCATTACTGACTACTACAAAGAACAAACCAAAAAGTTAGAGCATGTGATCCATTACAGCTGATCATACGTATCAGTACATACATACATATCAGTAACAAAAAGTTTGATCCTTCCTAGTACTATTGACCAAATATTTTAGGGTAATATTCATTTTTTTATTTAAAGTTAATTTTTTCTATAATATTCCCTTCTTTTATATTATTTCATATTACATAATTTAGGTTTATGAGATGAGAAATTTATAGTTCCTTCAGATATCTAAAAGAAATTTATTTTTTACTCTTCATGGAAAAAGAGTTCAGTACCAAATTATGTTTGCATGTTGGTCAGTTTGTTCGTATGGTGGGTTCATTGGTAGGTCGATTATATTTGACTTAGGTATTACCCAAAGCTTAGGAAACTATAAAATAATAGGAGGTGTGATGAGAGAGATTCCCCTGAGGCACCATAAATGTTTATCTAAAAAGAAAGCTAAATTCAGCCCAAAGCAGGGTTTAGAACTTTTATTTTATTACATGGCCATTTGGATTAAAATAATAAAAACTACCTAACCTGTTCGTTATGATTCATACTGTATTATAATTTTTCAGTAAGTGATAAAGTTCTTGTGGTCAGAGTTGAAAACCACTGAAATATATTTTACATGCAGGTGGTTTCCTTCAATAGTCAGAATTTGAGCATGCTCATCTTTGTTTTCCTTCTGAGATGAAAAGAGAGTTTGACTCTACACATAAAGGAAATAGTTTTCTAACTGACAAATTATTAATTATTGGTTTATATTGTCTCTGTTGGAGCATCCTAAACTGGAGAAATACAATTTAAGTGCTACCTTTTATTTATTTCTACTTTTACCTCACTTTTACAACTTTCTCTATGCCTGTAAGAACACTCTTCCCCAAAGATCTCAAAATAAGTACTTGAATAAAACTACAATCTAAGCATAGCTATAAAGAATGCATTTAATTTCAAGTGCTGCTATAAAGAATTTTACAAATGGCATGACAGGGTCCTTTTACTGTCCTCAATTTCATTGCATAGCTTTCCTAACAGCCCTCCTGAGAGCAAAGCTAGTCTACTCTCAATCCTTTTTATCAATTCACTCAGTTACAAAAGAAGAACTTTATCCTGACATTATGGGTATTGTTCTACTTATTTGCAGTGTCCCCATTGTTACTTTCTCTGAAATATAGTGCTGAACACAGATGCAGTTTCTGAAGAACCTGCAAGTATTGTCAGCATTAATGATGTAAGTTCAAATTTTGTCCAAGTAAGCTAAAAGAAAACAACCCATTAGCTAAAATCAAATGTGTTCTTCAATCAGCACCAGTCCTCAGACAAGTTAGAAAGTGGTATTGCTTCCCTTCTTCTGAAAATTTTCTTAATGAAAGGCCCTTAGCAGGGCTTTTACTCATCATACATCTGTCAATGCTAATTTAATTAGGTATTAGACAATTTCTTCTTTTAAGTCAGTATATTCCAAACTGGGGTTTTCAGATTTCACATATCCACAGATGATTTATAATCATTAGAAATTTTTTAATTTTGTACTTTTGTGATAATCTAAAATTTAGACAAAAATGGTGGAAGAATTGCACAATAACAAGGCAAATGTTAATCTAGGAATGACAAATTCAACAAAGCATTGGCCTTGGTTATCAGTCTTGTGCTCATCTTTCCAGCAAACAAATGCATCTTAACAAAAACAAATGATGTGTTATATTACCAAAATGTGGTTTGGGAGAATCTCAAAGAATATATACTGAGGGAAATAAAGAAGACACAAAAGCATGAACTACTCCATTTATATGAATTTCAGGAAGAAGCAAAATTAATCTCCAACTGTCAGAGGTGTTTAAACCAGAGTGACTCCATCTTGAATACATGCTGGGTAAAATAAGTCTGAGACCTACTGCACTGCATTCCCAGGAGGTTAAGGCACTCTTAATCACAAGCTGAGATAGGAGGACGACACAGGATGCCAGTCATAAAGACCTTGCTGATAAAACATCATGCGGTAAAGAAGCCAGCCAAATCTCACGAAAACCAATATGGCAACAAAAGTGACCTCCGGTCATCCTCATTGCTCATTACAAGCTAATTATAATGCATTAGCATGCTAAAAGACACTCCCACCAGTGCCATGACAGTTAACAAATACCAAGGCAATGTCAGGAATACCTTATATGGTCAAAAAGGGGGAGAAAACCTCAGTTCCAGGAATTGTCCACACCTTTCCCAGAAAACTCGTGAATAATGCATCCCTTGCTTAGCATACAATCAAGAAATAACTGTAAATATCTTTAGTCTAGCAGCCTAGGCTACTGCTCTGATTACGAAGTAGCCATTCTTTCTTGGCTACTGTTCTGATTATGAAGTAGCCATTCTTTTATTCCTTTACTTTTTTAAAATTTATTTATTTATTTTTTTAATAAAACAGAGTCTCACTCTGTCGCCCAGGCTGGAGTGCGGTGGTGCGATCTCGGCTCACTGCAACCTCAGCGTCCTGGGTTCAAGAGATTTTCCTGCCTCAGCCTCCTGAATAGCTGGGATTACAGGCTTGGCCACCATGCCCAGCTAATTTTTTTCTATTTTTAGTAGAGGTGGGGTTTCACCATGTTGGCCAGGATGGTCTCGATCTCTTGACCTCGTGATCCACCCACGTTAGCCTCCCAAAGTGCTGGGATTACAGGCGTGAGCCACCGTGACCGATCTTTTTTTCTTTTTCTTTTCTTTTTTTTTTTGAGACAAAGTCTCACTCTGTTGCCCAGACTGGGGTGCAGTGGTGCCATCTCAGCTCACTGCAACCTCTACTTCCCAGGTTCAAACAACTCTCCTGCCTCAGCCTCCCGAGTAGCTGGGTCTACAGGCACACACTGCCATGCCCGGCTAATTTCTTTTGTATTTCAGTAGATACAGGGTTTCGCCATGTTTCCCAGGCTAGTCTTGAACTCCTGAGCTCAGGCAAACCAACCACCTCTGCCTCCTAAAGTGCTAGGATTACAGGCATGAGCCACTGAGCCCGGCCTATTCCTTTACTGTCTTAATAAACTTGCTTTCACTTTACTGTATGGATTCACTTCAAATTCTTTCTTGCGTGAGATCCAGGAACCCTCTTTTGGGGTCTGGACTGTGAGCCATTTTCAGTAACAAAACTAGTGGTTACATCTGTGGCAAGGAGGTGGATGGTGGACTGTGCTGACTGAGAAAGGGAATGAGGGAGTCATCTGGGGTTTTATATAGGCGTGCCTCAGAGATATTGCAGGATCAATTCCAGGCAACTGCAATTAAACAAATAAAGTGAATCACACAAATTGTTTGTTTTCTAAATGCATATAAAAGTTTAGTAAGTGTGCAATAACATTATATCTAAAAAGTACATATTTTAATTTTAAAATACTAGCAATCATCTGAACCTTCAGCCAGTTGTAATGTTTTTACCCGTGGAAGGTCTTGTCTCAGCGTTGATGGCTGCTGACTCACAAGGGTGGTGGTCACTGATGGTTAGAGCATCTGTAGCAATTTCTGAAAATAATACACTGAGGTTTATGGCATCTATTGACTCTTCCTTTCAGAAAAGATTTCTCTGTGGCATGTGAAGCTATTTTACCCAGAGAAGAATGTGTTTCAAAATTGGAGTAAATCCTCTCAAACCCTGTTGCTGCTTTATGAACTAAGTTAACGTAATACTCTAAATCCTTTGTTTTCATTGCAACAAGTTCACACATCTTCACCTGGAATAGGTTCCATCTCAAGAAACCACTTTTTTGCTTATCCACAGGAAGCAAGTTTTCATTCATTCAAGTTTGATGATGAGATTGCAGCAATTCAGTCACATCTTCATGCTCCACTTCTCACTCTGCTTCTCTTGCTATTTCTACCACATTTGCAGTGATATCCACTGTTGAAATCTTGAACTCCTCAAAGTCGTCTGTAAAGGTTACAACTAACTCGTTCCAAATTCCTGTGCATGTGGGCATTTTGACCTCCTCTCATGAATCACTAATATTCTTAATGGCATGTAGAATGGCGAACACTTTCCAGGAGGTTTCAATTGACTTTCCCCAGACCCACCAGAGAAATCACCATCTATGGCAACTTACAGCCTTATGAAATGTATTTCTTAAATAATGAGACTTGAAAGTCAAAATTATGTTTTGATTCATGGGCTACAGAACGGTTGTTTTGTCAGCAGACATAAAAACAACATTAAACTTCTTGTACATCCAAATTAAAGCCCTTAGGGCACCAGATGCATTGTCAAAGAGCGGTAATATTGTAAAATGATTTTTTTCTCTGAGTAATGGGTCTCAACAGTGGGCTTAAAATATTTAGTAAACTATGCTTTAAACAGAAGTGCCGTCATCAAGACTTTATTGCTCCACTTATAGGGTGCAGGTAGAGTAGACTTATAATTATTAAGAGCCCTGCAATTTTTGGAATGGTAAATGAACATTGGCTTCAGCTTAGTCACCATCTAGCCCCTAAAAAGATTTAGCCTGTCTTTTGAAGCTTTGAAGCCAGGCATTGACTTCTCCTCTCTAGTGTTAAAAGTACTCAATGGCATCTTTTTCCAATAGAAGGCTGTTTTGTTCACCTTGAAAATCTGTTGTTTAGTGTAGCTACCTTCATCAATGATTTTAGCTAGATCTTCTGGATAACTTGTTGCAGCTCCTCCTACATTAGCACTTGCTGCTGTTTCACTTTGCACTTTTATGTTATGGAGACGGCTTATTTCCTTACACTTCATGGACCAACCTCTGCTAGCTTCATACTTTTCTTCTGCAGCTTCTTCACTTCTATCAGCCTTCATAGAATTAAAGAGATAGGACCTTGCTCTAAATTAGGCTTTGGCTTAAGGGAATGTGGTCACTGGTTTGATCGTCTACCCAAACTACTCAAACTTTCTCCAAATCAGCAATAAGGCTGTTTTGTTTTATCATTTGTGTATTCACTGGAGTGTAGCAAAAGTACAAAAGTGTGTAGCACTTTTAATTTCCTTTAAGAAATTTCCCCTTGAATTTATAACTTGACTAACTTTTTGACACAGGGCCTAGATTTCAACCTTTCTCGGTTTTCAACATGTCTTCCTCACTAAGCTTAATCATTTCTAGCCTTTGATTTTAAGTGAGAGACATGCAACTCTTCATTTCGCTTGAGCACTTAGAAGTCATTGTAAGATTTTTGGGTGGCCTAATTTTAACATTGTGTCTCAGGGAATAGAAAGGCTCCAAGAAGAAGGAGAGAGATAGGAAAATGACTGGACAGTCGAGCAGTCAGAGCACACACAATATTTCTTAAGTTTGCCATCTTACATGTGCGTAGTTGTAGCACCTCAAAACAATTGCAATAGTAACATCAAAAATCACTGATCACAGATCACTATAACAGATATAATAATGAAAAGGTTTTAAATATTATAAGAATTACTAAAATGTAACACAGAGACAAAGTAAAAACATGCTTTTGGAAAAATGGGACCAATAGATTTGGTTGATGCAGAGTTGCCACAAACTTTCAATTTGTAAAGAATTTTATATCTGCTAAGTGCAATAAAGTGAAGCACAATAAAACAAGGTATGCATGTAAATATTTTGCATATTGACCCATGAGGTTATTACTCAGGTGAATATAAATATAAATAAGTATAAAATTTATATAACTTTACACATGATTTATATACGTTATTGTATGTCTGTTGTCCTTCAATAAAACATTTTTTTAATTTTTTTTATTATACTTTAAGTTTTAGGGTATAATGTAACAACGTGCAGGTTAGTTACATATGTATACATGTGCCATGTTGGTGTGCTGCACCCATTAACTCGTCATTTAACATTAGGTATATCTCCTAATGCTATCCCTCCCCACTCCCCCCACCCCACAACAGGCCCTGGTGTGTGATGTTCCCCTTCCTGTGTCCATGTGTTCTCATTGTTCAATTCCCACCTATGAGTGAGAACATGTGGTGTTTGGTTTTTTGTCCTTGCGATAGTTTGCTGACAGAATTTAAAAATATATGTTTACTGCATGAATTTTGTATAATCAGATATGCAAAACATTATAATATTGGGTTAAATAAAAATCCAAATTTGGGGACTTCGTTTTAGATAGTCTTTTTATCAAATGCTTTTTTGACATCTATTGAAATAATTATATGGATTTTGTTCTTCACTCTGTTGGTATGATTTAGCACATTGATTGATTTGGAAATATTGAAACATCCTTGCAACCCTGGCACAAATCTCACTTTATCATGATGAATAATCTTTTTTAAGTGTTGTCGAATTCAATTTGCTAGTATTTTATGGAGGATTTTTGCATCCATGTTCATCAGAGATAGTGCTGTGTAGCTTTCAATTTTTGTTGTGTCTTTGGTATTGGTATCAAGGTAATACTGGCTTTGTAAATTGGGTCTGAAAATATTCTCTACTCCTTAATTTTTTGAAATAATACCTTGAGTAGGATTGGTATTTTGTTCTTTAAGTATTTGCAGAATTCATAGAAACATCATCAGATTCTGGGCTTTTGTTTGATAGGAGACTTTTTATTATTGCTTCTATCTTCTACTTGTTATTGGTCGGTTTATGTTTCAGATTTTTTCATGGCTCAGTCTTCATAAGTTGTGTGCATCTAGGAATTTATCCATCTCTTCTAGGTTTTCCAATTTATTAACATACACTTGCTAATAATAGTTTCCAATGATCCTTTGAATTTCTTCTATCAGTGGTAATGTCTCCTTTTTCGTGTTTTTTTAAGCTAGTCTGGCTAAAGGTTTGGCTATAATATCATTTCAAAAAAACAACCTTTTATTTTATAGATATTTTGTATTTCTTTTCAGGCTCAGTTTTATTTCTTCTCTGATCTTTTATTTCTTTTCTTCTACTGATTTTGTAATTGCTTTGCTCTTGCTTTTCTGTTCATTAAGATGCATCATTAGGTTGTTTATTTACAGCTTTTTAATATGTTTCCATTTTTATGGGTACATAGTAGGTGTATATATTTATGGGGTATATGAGATATTTTGATACAGGTATACTACATGAAATAATCACATCAGGGTAAATGGGGTATCCATCACCTCAAGCATTTGTCACTTTGCTGTGTTACAAACATCCCGATTATATTATATTGGTTATTTTAAAGTATACAATAAATTATTGTTTATTTCAATTACCCTGTTGATATCAAATAATAGATCTCATTCATCTTATTTTTGTACCTATTAACTATCCGCACTCCCCTGCTACCGTTCCCAGCCTCTGCTAACCATCATTTGACTCTCTATCTCCATGAGTTTAATTGTTTTAATTTTTAGTTCCCACAAATGAATGAGAACATGTGAAGTTTGTTTTTCTGTGCCTGGCTTATTTCACTTAACAGAATGACCTCCAGTTCCATCCATGTTGTTGCAAATGAGAGGATTTCATTCTTTTTATGGCTAAATAGTATTCCATTGTGTATATGTACCATATTTTTCTTCTTTTTTTTTCTTTTTTTTTTTTGAAACAGGGTTTCTTTTTGTCACCCAGGCTGGAGTGCAGTGGTGAGATCACTGCTCGCTGTAGCCTCGACCTCTTAGACTCAATTGATCCACTTGCCTCAGCTTCCTGAGTAGCTGGGACAAGAGGCATGTGCCACTAACCTGGCTACTTTTTTTTAGAGGTGGGGTTTTTCTATGCTGCCCAGGGTGGTTTTGAACTCCTGGACTCAAGAAATCCACCTGCCTTGGCCTCCCAAAGTGTTGGGATTACAGGTATAAGCCTCTGTCCCTGGCCACCATGTTTCCTTTATCCTTTCATCTATTGATGAACATTTAGGTGGCTTCCACATCTTGCCTATTGTGAACAGTGCTATATTAAACATGGAAATGCAGATATCTCTTCAATACACTGACTTTCTTTCTTTTGGGTATATGCCCAGGAATGGGATTGCTGGATCATGTTATAGCTCTTTTTTAGTTTTTTGAGGAACTTCCATAGTGTTCTCCATAGTGGATGTACTAATTTACATTCCCACCAACAGTGTACAAGGGTTCCTTTTCTCCACACCCTCGCCAGCATTCATTATTGCCTACCTTTTAGATAAAAGCCATTTTAACTGGGGTGAGATGATATTTCATTGCAGTTTTGATTTGCATTTCTCTGATGGTCAGTGATGTTGGTCACCTTTACATACACCTTTTTGACATTTGTATGTCTTCTTTTGAGAAATATCTATTCCAATCTTTTGCCCATTTTTTAATCAGATTATTAGATTTTTTTTTCTATTGAGCTGTTTAAGCTTTTTACATATTCTGGTATATGTTAATTCCTTGTAAGACAGATAATGTGCAAATATTTTCACCCATTCTGTGGGTTGTATCTTCACTTTGTTGATTGTTTCCTTTGCTGTGCAGAAGCTTTTTAACTTGTGATACCATTTGTCCATTTTTGCTTTGGTTGCCTTTGCTTTTGTGGTATTACTCAAGAAATCTTTGCCCAGACCAATTTCCTGGAGAATTTTTCAAAGGTTTTCCTTTAATGGTTTCATAGCTTCAAGTCTTATATTTCAGATTTTGGTCCATTTTGATTTAATTATTGTATATGGTGAGAGATAGGGGTCTACTTTCATTCTCCTGCATATGGATAGCCAGTTTTCCCAGGGTCATTTATTGATGAGACTGTCCTTTAACCAATATATTTTCTTGGGTTATTTATTGAAAATGACCTTGCTGTAGATGTATGGATTTATTTCTGAGTTCTGTATGCTGTTCCACTGGTCTATGCGTCTGTTTTTATTCCAATACAATGCCATTTTTGTTACTATAGCCATTTTTGTTACAATGCCATTTTTGTTACTATAGCTCTGTAGTATAATTTTAAGTAAGGTAATGTGATTCCTTCAGTTTTGTTCCTTTTGCTCAGGATGACTTTCATTATTCTGTATCTTTTGTGGTTCCATATAAATTTAAGACAATTTCTTTCCATTTTTTTGAAGAATGTTATTGGTAACTTACTAGAAATTGCATTGAATCTGCACCTTGCTTTATGTAGTACTTTAACAATTTTGATTCTTCCAATCCATGAACATAAAATATTTTTCCATTTTCTTATGTCTTCTTCAATTTCTTGCATCAGTGTTTTATAGTTTTCATTGTAGAGATCTTTCACTTCTTTTGTTAAGTTTAGTCCTATGTATTTTATTTTATTTGTAGCTATTATAAATAGGATTGTTTTCTTAATTTTTTAAACAGATTGTTCACTGTTGCATATAGAAATGCTATTGATTTTTGTATATTGATTTTGCATCCTGCAACTTTACTGAATTTATCAGTTCCAATAGATTTTGGTGGAGTCTTCAATTATTTCCAAATATAAGATACTATCATCTGCAAACTAAGATAATTTGACTTCTTTCTTTCCAATTTGGATGCCTTTTATTTCTTTCTCTTGTCTGATTGGTCTAGCTAAGACTTCCAATACTATATTGAATAAAAGTAGTGAAAGTGGGCGTCCTTGTGTTCCATATCTTACAGGAAATGCTCTCAGTTTTTACCCATTCAGTGTGATACTAGCTGTGAATCTGTTATATATTGCTTTTATTGTGTTGAGGTATGTTCCTTCTACATCAGTTTTTTTTTTTTTTGAGGGTTTTATCATGAAGGGATGTTAAATTTTATCAAATGCTTTTTCAACATCAATTAAAATGATCGTATAATTTTCCTCCTTCATGCTGATGATATGATGTATTATGTTGATTGAATTGCATATGTTGAGCCATCCTTGCATCCCTGAGATAAATCCCACTTGGTCATCATGAATGATCTTTTTTTAAAAAAATTTTACTTGAAGTTCGGGGATACATGTGCAGAACGTGCAGGTTTGTTACATAGGTATACATGTGCCATGGTGCTTTGCTGCTCCCATCAACCCGTTATCTAGGTTTTAAGCCTCTCATGCATTAGGTATTTGTCCTAATGCTCTCCCTCCCCTTCCCTCACCGGCCAACTGGCCCGAGTGTGTGATGTTCCCCTCCCAGTGTCGATGTGTTCTCATTGTTCAACTCCTACTTATGAGTGAGAACATGCAGTGTTTGGTTTCCTGTTGCTGTGTTAGTTTGCTGAGAATGATGGCTTCCACCTTCATCCATGTCCCTGCAAAGAACGTGAACTCATTCTTTTTTATGGCTGCATAATATTCCATGGTGTATATGTGCCACATTTTCTTTATCCAGCCTATCATTGATGGACTTTTCGATTGGTTCCAAGTCTTTGCTATTGTGAATAGTGCTGCAGTAAACATACGTTTGCATGTGTCTTTATAGTAGAATGATTTATAATCCTTTGGTTATATACCCAGTAATGGGATTGCTGGGTCAAATGGTATTTCTGGTTCTAGATCCTTGAGTAATCACCACACTGTCTTACACAATGTTTGAACTAATTTACACTCCCACCAACAGTGTAAAAGCATTCCTATTTCTGCACAGTCTCACCAGCATCTGTTGTTTCCTGTCTTTTTAATAATCTCCATGATAAATGATCTTTTTAATGTACTGTTGAATTTGATTTGCTAGTACTTTGTTGCAGATTTTTTATTCGATGTTCATTAAATATATTGGCCTGTAGTTTTCTTTTTTTTCATGTGTCTTTGTCTGGTTTTGCTATCAAAATATACTCATAGCATGAGTTTGGAAGTGTTTCCTCCTTCTCTATATTTTTGAATAATTTGAGTACAATTTCCTATTAGTTCTTCTTTAAATGTTTAGTAGAATTCAGCAGTGAAGCCATTGGGTCCGAGACTTTTCCTTGCTGGGAAACTTTTTATTACAGCTTCCTTCTGGTTATTAGTGTAGTCACGTTATGGATTTCTTCATTTTCAATGTCATAAGTTGTATAAGAATTTATCCATTTTTTTCTAAATTTTTTATTTATTGGCATATAGTTGCTCATAGTAGTCTCTAATGATCTTTTGGATTTCTTTGGTATCAGTTGTAATGTCTCCTTTTTCATCACTGATTTTATTTACTTGAGTCTTCTCTCTCTTTTCTTAGTCTAGCGAAATTATTGTTTATTCTGCTTATCTTTTCAAAAAACCAACTATTCATTTTATTGACTTTTTAGTTGTTTTTTATTGTTTCATTTTTAAAATTTTTATTCTAATATTTATTATAACTTTTCCTCTACCACTTTTGCTTCATTTGCTCTTGCTTTTCTAATTCTTTAAGATGCATCAATAGGTTATTTATTGGAGAATTTCCTACTTTTTAAATGGAGGTACTTATTGCTATTAACTTTTCTGTTAATACTGCTTTCTCCATGACCTATACATTTTGATATGTGTGTTACCATTAACATTTATTTCAAAAAATTGTTTAGATTTCTTCTTAATTTCTTCACTGGTCATTCAGGAGCAAATTGTTTAATTTCCATGTGTCTGTATAGTTTCCAAAGTTTTTTCTGTTACTGATATCTAGTTTTATTCCACTGTGGTCAGAAAAGATATGTGATATTATTTTAATTTTTATAATTTTTAGAACTTGTTTTTGGCCTAACATATGGTCTGTCTTTGAAAATGATCCATATGCTGACAAAAAGAATATGGATTCTTCAGCCATTGAATGAAATGTTCTTAGATGAGATGAGATAGTTTGATGAAATATCTATTAGGTTCATTAGGACTAGAGTGCCAATTACATTTTATGTTTCTTTGTTGATTTTCTCTCTAAATGATCTTTCCAATGCTGAAAATGGGGTTTTGAAGTCTCCAGTTATTATTGTATTGGGGTATATCTCTCTCTTTAGCTCTAATAATTTTTGCTTTATATATCTGGGTCCTCTAGTGCTGGGTGCATATATATTTACAAATGTTATATCCTCTTGCTGAATTGACTCCTTTTATCATTATATAACGACCTTTTTGTCTCTTTTTATACTTTTTCTCTTAAAATCTATTTTGTCTAATAAGTATAATTACTCCTGTTCTTTTTTGGTTTCCATTTGTGTGGAATATCTTTCTCCATCCCTTTGTTTTTAGCTTATGTGTGTCTTTATAGGTGAAGTGTGTTTCTTATAGCAATAGATTGCTGGGTCCTCTTTTTATACCCATTTGGTCCCTCTATGTCTTTTGATTGGAATGTTCAGTTCATTCACATTCAATGTTTTGTTTTTTGTTTTGTTTTGTTTTGTTTTGTTTTGTTTTAGTAGAAACAGGGTTTCACCGTGTTAGCCAAGATGGTCTCAATCTCCTGAACTCGTGATCCACCCCCCTTGGCCTCCCAAAGTGCTGGGATTACAGGCTTAAGCCCTGCCCAATGTTATTAGTAAGGACTTACTCCTGCCATTTTGTTGTTTTCTGGGTTGTTTTGTGGTCTTTTTTTTCCTTCCTTCTTTCCTTCCTTCCTTCCTTCCTTCCTTTTTCCTTCCTTCCTTTCTGTCTTCCTTTTTATAAAAGTGATTTTTTCTAGTGGTATGTTTTAATTTCTTTCTTTTTTTTGTATCTGTTGTAGGTTTTTTGTTTTGAGGTTATCATGAGACTTGCAAATAACATCTTATAGCCCATTATTTTAAACTGATTAAAACCTAGCACTAATTGCAACAAAAATAAACTAACAGAAAAACTAATAAAAATTCTACACTTAACTTCATCCTTCTTCTCACTTTTTACCTTTTGTTGTATCTGTTTATATTGTACGATACTCTCTATGTCTTAAAAAGTTATTGTAGTTACTATTTTTGGTAGGTTCTTCTTTTAGTCTTTCTACTTAATATATGAATAGCTTACAAACACCACAATTATGGTATCATAATGTTCTGTATTTCTCTGTGGACTACTACCAATAAGTTTTGCATCTTCAAATGATTTCTTATTGCTCATTAACATCCTTTTATTTCAGATTGAAGAACTCCAGTTAGCATTTCTTTTAGGACAGGTTCAGTGTTAATAAAATCCACCATCTTTTGTTTGTCTGGAAAATTATTTATTTCTCCGTCATGTTTGAAGGATATTTTTTCTGGATATACTATTTTAGGATAAAAGAATTTTTCTTCAGCACTTTAAATATGTCATGACTCTCTCTCAGCCTGTAAATTTCCCACTGAGAAGTCTGCTGCCAAATATATTGGAGCTACTTGGTATGTTAGTTGCTTCTTTTCTGTTGCTGCTTTTAGGATCCTTTCCTTATCCTTGACATATGGAATTTTGATTATTAAATGTCCTGCATAGTCTTAAGGGGGTCAAATCTGCTTTGTATCCTGTAGCTTTCTTGTACTCAAATATTAATATCTTTCTCTAAATTGGGAAAGTTTTCTTTTATTATCCCTTTAAATAAAATTTTTAACCCTATCTCTCTCTCTACCTTGTCTGTAAGGCCAACAACTGGTAGATTAGCCATTTTGAGCCTATTTTCTAGGTTTTGTAGTTATCTTTCATTCTTGTTTAGCCTTTTTTCTTTTGCTCCTCTGTGTATTTTCAAATAGCTTGTCTTCAAGTTCACTGATTCTTTCTTCTGCTTGATCAGTTCTGCTAATGACAGTCCCCAATGCATTCTTCCATATGTCAATTAAATTTTTCAGCTCTAGCATATCTACTTGATATTTTTAAAACATTTAGATCTCTTTGTTAAATTTCTGTGATAGAATTTTGAATTTCTCCTCTAGCTTACCTTGAATTTTGTTGATCTCCCTCAAAACAGCTATTTTGAATTCCCTGTCTGAAAGGTTATGTATCTTTGTCACTCTAGGATTGGTTGTTTGTGCCTTATTTAGTTCAGTTGGTGAGGTCATATTTTCCTGGATTATCTTGATGCTTGTTGATGTTCATGGCACCTGGGTATTGAAGAGATGGGTATTTATTGTCATCTCTGCAGTCTGGGCTTGTTTGTACCCATCTTTCTTGGGAAGGCTTTCCAAGCATTCAGAGGAAATTGAGTGTTGCAATGTAAGGCTTTGGTTACTGCAGACATATCTGCCTTAGGGGGTACCCCAAGCCCAGTAACACTGTGACTCTTACAGACTACTAAAGGTACCATCTTGGTGGTCTTGGGTGAGATCGGAGAGAATTCCTGGATTACCAGGCATAGTCTCTTGTTCTCATCCATTACTTTTCCCCAAATGAATAACCTTTTTCTCTATCCTAAGCTGCCTGGGACTAAGGAAGGGATGACACAAACACCCTGGTGGCAACCACCACTGGGACTGTTCTGGGTCAGTCCTGAAACCACCACAACATTGAGTTTTGCACAGGGATTGTGGTGACTGCAGCCTGGCTGCCAATGCTGTTCACTCAAGGTCCAAGGGCTCTTCAGTCAACAGGTAGTTGTGGTAAATCCAGATAGATTTGTGTCTTTCCCTTCAGGGCAGCAAGCTCCCCTCCCAAGCTCATATCAAGTCTAGAAATTCTGTCTGGGAGCCATGACCTAGAGTCAGCAACCTTAGGACTCTACTTGGTGCTCTATTCCACTGAAGCTGAGCTCGTGCCCAACTTACAAGACAAAATACTTGTCTCTCTTTGCTCCCCTTTCCACAAGCAGAGGAGCAACTCCCCAGGGTCACTATAACTCCAGGTTCATGGTGAGTACTACCTGGCTACCGCTGGTGTTCACTCAAGGCCCAAGGGCTCTGCAGTTAGTTGAGTCAGTTGCTGCCAGGTCTTCAGAAAGTTGCTAGCATGCCTGGATCTCTCCCTTCAGGAAAGTGGGTTCCCTTCTGGCCGAGGGCAAGTCCAGAAATGCCATACAGGGGCCAATGCCTGGCATCGAGGTCCCCAAAAGCCTGTGTGGTGCTCTATTGCACTGTGGCAGAGCTGGTACCCAAGCGCAGGGCAAAGTCCCCTTTAAGTCTTCTCTCTCCTTTCCTTGAGCAGAAGGAGTCTCCCTGTAGCCACCACCATTTGGAATGTGCTAGGTCATGCCTTAAGTCAGCATGGCACTGGATCTTACCCAAGTCCTGTGGCAAGTGCTGCCTGGCTATCATTGATATTTATTCAAGGCCCAAGGTCTCTTTAGTCAGCAAATGATGAATCCTGCAGGAACTGGGTTCTTCTCTTCAAGGCAGCGGGCTCCTTTCTGTCACAAGGTGTGCCTATAAATGTCATCTGGGAGCTAGAGCCTAGAACACATAGTACACAGGTCTCAGGACTCTCCCTGGTGCCCTATTCTACTGTAGGGCTGAGCTGGTACCCAAGTTGCAAGACAAAGTCCCCTTTATTTAACCCCCTCTGTTCCTCAGTCAGAAGAAAGGAGTGTCTCCTTGGGCTTCATGAAGGAAGTGACCCTTTAAGATTTTCCTTTTAGTGTGAGTAAGACATTGACGGGGGAGAATAACAAACAAAAAATACATTGAAGGAAACATGCAATGTATATTTAGGGAATGGTCAGCAGGCCCACCTCACTGTAGCAGAGTAGAGTTAGATTCAATACAACATTTTGGAAAATGGATTAGAGCATAAAGGGACTAGAACTAGAACTATTTATTCATAATCCAGATCAAGAACACTGCAGAAGAATACGGCAATGGAATGGAAGCCTAAAGTCAGATCTAGAGACATTACAGAAGGAGAATTACCAAAATTGGTCACTAGTTAGTCATAGGCATGGATGATAAAGAATTAAAGATGAGGCCACGGTTTTGAACTTCAGTGATCAGCGAAATTGTAGTATCATTAACAAAAATAAGAAACTCCAAATTTTGAAGGTCAAAGAGAATTTAAACATCACTTATTTGAGAACTTTCTCTTCATCTGTGTGTTATTATGTGTTCCTGCAACAGTTTAAGATACAGGGATTGGGCCGAGCACGGTGGCTCATGCCTGTAATCCTAGCACTTTGGGAGGCTGAGATGGGTTGATTGCCTGAGCTCAGGAGTTCAAGACCAGCCTGGGCAACATAGTGAAACCCCATCTCTACTAAAATACAACAACAACAAAAAAAAAATCAGCCTGGAGTTGTGGTGGGTGCCTGTAATCCCAGCTACACGGGAGGCTGAGCACGAGAATTGCTTGAACCCGGGAGGTGGAGGTTGTAGTGAGCCGAGACCGTGCCACTGCACTCCAACCTGGGCAACAAAGTGAAATTCTGTCTCCAAAAAAAAAAAAAAAAAAAGATACAGAGATTGGAGAAAGAGTATTCAAATTGTAATCCTGTTTCTGCCATTTGGTAGCTGTGTTACCTTGGGCAAATTATATAAACTCTCTTGTTTCAGCTCCATCTTCTGTAAAAATGAATAATAATAACCTTCCCTACTTCAGAGGGCTGTACATTGTCTGACACACCCTTGTCAAGTGGTCAATAAGTGTTACCTAGCATTATTATTACTATTTTAGCAAAAATTTATAATACAGTGATTGACAGATATTTGAGATACACATTCCATAGACATGGACTATGTGAGACTAAGGTGAGACTATACTACTGCCCCCCAAAGTAAGTATTCCACCTTTCAAAGAGACTACAGCCCAAACAATGAAAACCATGACAACTTTCAGTTGAGAAATTACAGTCACATAGACAATCAGTCAAATGTTTAAAATGGCATATGGAGAATCAGGAGTTGAATCTAAGTGTATTTTAAATCAAAGGGCAAAAGAAAGCAATTTCACAAGTATAAGAAATAAGTATTCTTTCATCTCAGTAAATTCACATATCAACCCTTTAAATCCTGCTGCTGGTAGCTGCTTCCAATTCAATACACCTGTGGTTTTTCAGATTTTCAAGATTAACTCTTCTATCTGAACCGTACATAACTTTTACATTCTTTGCTCACGGTCTGCATCATACTATACACTAAAGTGCTTTTCCATCAGTTTACTGTTCTCCAAGAATATCAACAGGTTTTGTAATTGAATATCATATTAGTAGTGCTACTGAAGGAGAAGTGATGTTCTAGAGACTGTCATTCTATGTTATCAAGGATTTTGTATTATTAAAAATAAATTCATTGGTCTTTTTATTTTTGTTCATAATCAGTGTCCTGGGGAATGGTCACATTTTCAAAGGCTGTGGAATAGATAATCCTCTTTCGTGGTAACTATGCCACACATCTTAACAAATTCCATGTCTGTGTGCTTTGTACTGATTCATCAGACCATGCAGATGTAGACACAACTCAGTTGTAATTTAGTGCCAACAAAATTCTACTCTTTGGAAAATTTTTTTTTGAAATCAGTTCTCTCCTGACTTATACACTTTTCATTAGCTTTGAAAATACCTACTCCTCTGTGTTCACCAGTATGAACATCTGGAATATTGCATGAGTGACGCATTTAGTTTCTTTTAAAAATAAAAACTTTTCAGATATACAAAAATTATTATAACTTATGAAAGCATAAGTACAAGTGTAATGTTCAGTATAAGCATCCAGATGGACATGGCTTTAACAATTTGGGACTTTGGCAGTGACTACCAATGGGTAGTTTCCTTTGAAAAAATGATAATAAACACTCCATTTCCCCTTCATTAAGTAAAAAGTGGTTGAATCAAAGTCACTTCTCATCATTTTCTACAACTCGATACTGAACTAAGCAAGAAAAAAATTAGAAATTTGAGATGTTTGCTGTTCTTTGAATTAGAATCATACAAGCCTCTACTTGAAGTCTGGGAATTTGGTTTAAAAAAATAATATAAGTAGTCAAAATGGATAATTCAGAAAAAAAAATTCTTTTTTCCTCAATACTTCCACACCCATTACTCTTAGCTTTCATTTCCTCCCCCAAACTCTCCTGATTTGTAATCAGAAAAAGTAATTGGACAATAAAATATTATTGACAAAGATTTATGCATCTCTCTAGGCACTTACTGTGTTAAAAGCAGAATAATCTTGGACAAAGGAATATTTTATCTAAACAATTATTTCAGTTTAGTTTGAGTTTATAGAGAACACAAATTTTTCCATGGATTAGATGAATATACCCAAGTCATGTAAAAATAAACTAAAATGGACTACAAAATATTATCTTCAATTCATTAATGCTATAGGTTTAAAAAAAACAAAAGTTAAAAATTTCTAAAACCACAAGTTGGCTATTAGCACTAAAATGAACACCATTTGTGGGTCATACAGTCACCTTGTGAACTATAAATGAGGCACTGGCCTGAGAACTGAAAGGTCATTTGAATGTGTGTTATCTTGCTGAACATGATGATGTTTAAACTAGTTTCCACTGAATTGTAATCTGCTCCCAGAAAAAAAAAAAATGATGCTTTTTTTGTAGAAAAGGGGCATCCATTTACACTGTGCTTTTTAGTTGGAGAGAGGGGAAGAGGTCAGTGGCCCATCATGATTTAGTGTGCCTGGGCGTACGGGTAATGTAATGGAGCTGTCAACACACATTGCTTGGGGAACATACTGTGTGTTCATTTTCATGCCTTGTATGAGATAAAAATTCCTGTACTCTTATAAGAAAGATATAAATTTCCCAGTGATTTTATAAATTCAATCATGAGATGATAGACTGTCTGAGCTCATTACAATACAATGTCTATAAACATTTTTTAAATGTCTGTTTTCTAAGAGGATGAACTATACGAAGATGAAGTAGCAATAACAAGTTTTAGTACATGTAAAAATATTGTATTTATTTATTTATTATTTTACATAATAAATACAAATAGTGCTATTCTAGGTATTTGGTATCTGAAATTTACATATCTTTATGTCAGGGCCTCTGTAAATTAGGTTAACTGATTTCATTTGCCTTAATTGCTTCTATAATATAACAGTCTCTTGATAAAGGTTAAGGCTTGGTCTTGACTATTAAGTGCTCTTAGACTGGTTAATTGAGCCTATATTTGGAGTATATATAAATGTAGTATATTTCCCTCTAATGCTTATGGTGACTTGAGCAATCCAAAGGACTTCTTTAGAATCTGACTGGAAATCCCTAGAGTATACTCACTGATGTGGAATGGTATTAAATGTCTACAAACCTTATCTCCAGTGAGAGCAAGGGAGGCAGAGAAGATGAGTGGTAGCATTTGCTTATTACTGTGATATAAATACTCCCAACATGGACAATTTTATGCCACTAACATTATGTCATGGAACCCAGAATTGAGAAATCATGCCAATGTGAGCTGACCTCACCGACCTCTTATTTTGTAACCTCAATGCCTGACGGTAATGACATGCAGTTGAACTTTGCAGGGGAGGACACTGAAAGTAGGGTCTCAGCTATTCTCTAACAGAAATATTACAAAGTTAGCCAGGCACAGTGGCTCACACCTGTAATCCCAACACGTTGGGAGGCCAAGGCTAGTGAATTACTTGAGGTCAGGAATTCGAGACCAACCTGGCCAACATGGTGAAACACCTTCTCTGCTAAAAATACAAAAATTAGCCGGGCGTCATGGCACGCGCCTGTAATTCCAGCTATTCCCGAGGCTGAGACAGGAGAATCGCTTGAACCCAAGAGGAGGAGGTTGCAGTGAGTCGAGATGGCACCACTGCACTCCAGCCTGGGTGACAGAGCAAGACTCCGTCTCAAAAATAAATAAATAAATAAATAAATAAATAAATAAAATATTACAAAATTGTTAATATGTTTCGTCTCCCAAGACAGAGAGTAAGGGATGTAAGAAATTCTATAGAACCCTTCATACATTTCTTTCATTTGTTATTGCCTTACAGTATCATATTCTAGGAATGCTGGTGACACTTTATGAAGCTCATCTTCCTCCAGATGAAGAAAAGGTTTCTATTTGACCAATGGTGATAGGCTTCCCCTCACCACCAGCATCAGCATACAATATTGAATTTTCCAAAGGTTTTCTCACATAGGAGTTACTCTTGGCCTTGTGAAAATCAAGAAAAAGCATTGGTAAAACCAGATAATTTGTCCAAAGCTTCAAGTCCAGATATACCTTACTGAAAATCTGGAGCTTTTGACCCTTATGTAGTTGAGAAACCTGCACTGGGGTCCACACTGGCCACACTGTTATCATTTTGACCTGGAATTTGATTTAACTCTGGCTTAAAATTGATTCCAGTATCACTAGATCTTAGCTATTTATGCTTTCTGATAAAGCGTTAAGACTGTCCACCTTTTATATAAATAATTGTATAGCTATTACTTTTCCCCAAAAGGTTTTATTGTCACCAAGTGTTTTTTACCCCTGAAATTATTCAATTTGTTAAGGAGACTGCCTCTACGAACAAAGAATCATGGCAGTAAACACCTTGTGCTTGCATAGACGTTAGTAACTTCTATGCTAAAAGTGTGATTATCCAAGGCCATTATTTAATAGCATGTATTTTTCTTTGTTATCTCTTCTAAGAAAACTTTGAATAAAATAAAATATCAGGAAACCAGTAAGTGATTCAACAAATGGGAGAGAACCGATTTCTAGTGGGTGTTCTAGAGTTCATTTAGATTAAGAATCTCATTTCTAAGAAACTGATACTAAAAATGATAATTCTGGTGTATGACAGAATCTTGATTTATCAAATAAGATGCTTACACTCAGAAATTACCAAGGCAGGTATATATATTAAAACTTCTAGAAGTATTTTCAGCTCTGTACATTGAAACAAAATTTTTTTTCTGGTTAATTATATGATAATCAGTAAATATTATCAACTAAAAATTTCCTGTCCTTAGGAGCACTAAGGTTTACATTTTTTTGTAAATCATTTAGAACAGGCATGACAAATATGTGGCATGCCTGCAAGTACTCTCCTGTCTTCCATCCACTTCAGGCATCACTAATCAATCAACTTCCTGCTGAGCCTAGATGTAGTCTCAGAAAACAATTTTTCAGAAAGTACCAGAGAGCTTCAGCCATTGATGAAAACTTACTTGCTATTCCTAGTCTGGATTGTCATAATTCAATATTAAGAGTTTATGTAACATCCAGTCAGCTTCTGATCATTAAAGTATTTCTCTGAACATATTAAAGAAGGAAAAATTATATTACTAATCAGGGGATCTCTAAGCATTTTAGTTTTTAAAAAATAAAGTATGTCAATACTTAACAGTATTTAATGCACACAAAAGTTATTTTTAAAATATAATAATTACATATCAGAATATATAAAAGAAAAAACTCTAAAAATAGCACAGAAAGAAAAACTTGTCAATAATGCTAGTAAAAAATAGAGCTAAAATATGTTATAAGAAGTGAGAGTCAAAAACTTAGGGCATCTTTGTGTAAAATACATTATGTTAACAAAATAAGCATTTTACATTTAGAAATGTACTTTTTCTATATGTAAACATTATTTTCTTATTAAACATATGAATATTTCTTTTTATCATATAATGGCAAAGAAAAATGTAACTTTATTTTTTAATTTATAAGTTATCAATTCTCAATAAACTAATTTTTTAAAATATTTTTTACCCATACAAAAAACGAATTGCAATTAGAAGCTATATCATTATTTTAATATTCTCTATTATATTAAGAGGCTTAAATAACTTCCCTAACTTTAATAATCATTTTACTTAAATGTCATCAGAATTTTTTGAATGAATTGTCCTGGGTTTTTGAAATTTATAGATAATCTCCATTAGGTAGCTATTACATGGAATCCTCCCTCAATTAAGAGTCAGAAGATCTGGGTTCTAAACCAAGCTCTACCATAAATTACTTATATGAACAAGGAGAGGCTAGTCCTCTGTAAAATGTATGGGTTGGGCTAGAAAATCTCTAAGACCCTTTCAAGTTCTAAAATGCCATTTTATTATACTTAATTTATCTATACATTTTCAGTATTTTAACTATCAAGGAAAACTGACATTTTATTCTGTAGTGTCTGTATGGACCTAGTTGTTTTGGGTTTTTAAAAATAAGACGTATTTTTATGTGGTGATGTGTAAACAAAAAAATTTAATTGAAATGATTTAATGCTTCTTTAATTTGTTTAATTATTGAGGATCATAGCATAGTATTGTTGGACTAAAAGTCAATGGTACACTTCAGGAACAGCATGTGTGAGTCTGCTGAAATCGTTAGCAAAATTATTTGCATGTTTGTTCACATAGTGTTCATTAAGTAATTAACAGGGCCCATGACCCAGAAAAAGTATAAATGCTATCTGGGTCAGACCATCATGTTTTGAGGGCATAGTATCAAATCTATAGATTGTCCTGACTTCAAGAATATATATATAGGTCAGTATATATATGTCAGAATATATAGGTCAGATTTAGATTCAGAACACATACCCCTGCAGTTAGCAGAAAAATGCCCCTGAACACATGAACATCATCTGTCTAATAGAATAATTAGCCATTCTGAGCACTTCATTACTATTAGTGATCCACATGAATGGAACAATGGAGCTTCCTGTTGATCAACAGGCATTTAAAAAAACATTACCTGATTTGGAATCCGGAAGGTAAGGATTTGAATTTTTACCCTATTGCTTGCTTGCTTGTGTGATCATAGGCAAATTAATCTTTCTGAGTCTCAGTTATGTCTCTTGTAAAATGTAACAATACAAATTTTATCACCTGCTATTACTTTTTAATCTCCCAAACATTTCTCAAATTATACTCTACCCACCAATGCCCACCCACTCTTCGATCACTATCATCTCTTGCCTCACTGCAGAATTTCACTGGTCTCCCTGCTTTCACTGTGGTGTGTGGCTTCTCTCTAACCATTAGTGTGCTGGCAAATAGCTTACACACAAAAAGTTAATAAAATGAAATTAAAATTAAAATCCTCATTTCTAGCGTTTGCCAGTTTCAGCAATATAAATACTCCTGCTATGGCTACCAATGTGATGTCACTAAACATAGAGTTAAGAAGAAAAGTGCTCAACTGGCTCTAAAGACATAGTATAAGTAGATTCCTCATGCTACCAACCAGGAAAAGCACCTCATCTCTCTCCTCATATATTAATAAGCTTAGATGACTTATTAGAGACATGACTATGCATAAAACTCTGTCAGCCCTTCGGATTCTTGAGACAAAAGGAAGAAACCTCACCAACAGAAGACACAAAAACCAGCATGAGAAATATCAGATTCTTACTTAATATTATCTTCAATAGAAAATAAATGCAATTACTTAGAAAATCCTATTGCCTGATTTCAGTCAATTGGAAGTTATGAATATTTTAGCTCAGTGCCCTATTTTTAAAAAGAATAAATTAATTAATTGACTGAGGCCAAACACATGCTTTCTAATATTATTATAAGCAATTAGAGAAATAAAATGCATTGCAGTGTTTAACACAATATCTAGTACATAGGAAGAAATCAATAAATGATTCTAGTGATTATAATTCTTATACTGTCTGTAAAGTTTCCCACAAACAAAAAACAAGTTCTCCAAAATAAAATAGACAAGTGGAAAGTGAACCTCAGGTGAAAAAAAAAAACAACAAAAAAAAACATGCTCATGACACATCTTGGCTTTGCTTCATTAAATATAGCCTAACTTTTTTAACAAAGATAGAATAAACTAACCATTTTCCACAATATCTATGTTCTGACTTAGCAAAACAGGGCCTGTATAAACCTGAAAATAGGAAAACACATCTCCCTAAATTCTGGGTGGTGATTTGTGAGTCAAAGAATACCTTTCCCATAAATATGCCTTCACCCTTCTACCTCTTACAGAAAGAGATTTATACATCCAAGCATGAACTTAAAGCCCTAGAAAAACAGGCCGAGCACAGTGGCTCATGCCTGTAATCCCAACACTTTGGGAGGCCAAGTCGAGTGGATCACTTGATGTCAGGAGTTCGAGACCAGCCTGACCAAAATGGTGAAACCCTGTCTCTACTAAAAAGAAAAGAAAAAATTAGCCGGGTGTGGTGACAGGCGCCTGTAATCCCAGCTACTCAGGAGGCTGAGGCAGATTGCTTGAATCTGGGAGGCAGAGGTTGCAGTGAGGCGAGATCGTGCCACTGCACTCCAGCCTGGGCGACAGACTAAGACTATATCTCAAAAACAAACCACAACAACAACAAAACCCTATAAAAACAAGAGGAGTGTTTAAAAAATAAGGTTAAGGAGAAAGAGAAAAGAGCACATTGCATTCTTGTTCATTGAGCAGTCTCCTTCTTACAGCCCCAGAAAACTTCTATCCTAGGTACTACAATCACAATATATTTTTTAATGTTTTATTTCTTCAATTACATTGGGACAAAAAATGAAATGTTAATGTAAGCAATAACATTTTTTATCTCTGTCTTTTAATTTGGGAACCAATATTAGGAATTTGATGCATGTGCTGGATTTCTCCATATGTTTCATGATGTAAACTCCGATACTTCTCTGGTCTGCATCAGTGAGCTCCCTTGTATTTCAGCTTTTGGGTGGGTTTGGCCAGGGAAACATGAAGGAGAGATTGGAAAGCAAGAGGAAAGATATATATTTCTCTATCTGGCTCCCTCCCTGACTCTCCATGTGCTTGTATTCAAAAGTCACAGTTACTGTCCAGCAACCTTCCTCTGTAGCTACACATGAGACATCTGGTAAGAAAAAGATGACCACTGAAATAGAGTAAGTAATAAGAGTATATGAAGGAATGACATATAAGGAGGTATACGAGTTTAAAGGAAACTAACAAAGGATGATGAAGCACCCTAAAGATAGCAATAGTGAGGAGCCTTTACCCCCCTTGGCCTGGAAGCACAAAGAGAGAGAGCAGTTATATGTGCCTGCCTCTAGATGTAGCTGTAGCTGTGACTGTAGGACAGGGGCATACGAAGGCACTGCCAATCCATAGCCAGGTAAGTGCAGTGCTAATGAAATAAGTACCCCAACCTCACACTTTAGTAATTATTCTTCCACCATGTAATTCTTAAGGATATCATATTATAATGACATTATATAAGAAATGATAGGTATTCTTTAATAACAGAGAATGGTCACAGTATATTGTTAAATAAAATAAGCCCTTTGAAAAGGGATCTAGAACTAGAAATACCATTTGACCCAGCCATCCCATTACTGGGTATATAACCAAAGGACTATAAATCATGCTGCTATAAAGACACATGCACATGTATGTTTATTGCGGCATTATTAACAATAACAAAGACTTGGAACCAACCCAAATGTCCAACAATGATAGACTGGATTAAGAAAATGTGGCACATATACACCATGGAATACTACTATGCAGCCATAAAAAATGATGAGTTCATGTCCTTTGTAGGGACATGGATGAAATTGGAAATCATCATTCTCAGTAAACTATCACAAGAACAAAAAACCAAACACCGCATGTTCTCACTCATAGGTGGGAATTGAACAACGAGAACACATGGACACAGGAAGGGGAACATCACACTCTGGGGACTGTTGTGGGGTGGGGGGAGGGGGGAGGGATAGCATTGGGAGATATACCTAATGCTAGATGACAAGTTAGTGGGTGCAGCGCACCAGCATGGCACATGTATACATACATAACTAACTTGCACATTGTGCACATGTACCCTAAAACTTAAAGTATAATAATAAAAAAAAAAAGAAAAAGAAAAGGGTGATAGTGTTGGGTACAGGAATTTGATAAATATTATTTAAGTTTTTAAAAAATTGTCCTTCCTCTCTCTTTTTCTTTGTTTTGCCAAAGTCTACAAAGTCCAAAGAATTAAAGACCAATTATAGAAAGTAATTTTTTAAATTTTCTAAGAAAATATGCAAAAGCAGTGGCTCATGCCTGTAATCCCAGCACTGTGGAAAGCAAAGGCAGACAGATGGTTTGAGTCCAGGAGTTTGAGACCAACCTGGGCAACATGGTGAAACCCCATCTCTACAAAAAATACAAAAATTAGCTGGGCATGGTAGTGTATGTCTGTTGTCCCAGCTAGCCAGGAGGCTGAGGCAGGAGGTTCAGCTGAGCCCAGGAGGTTGAGGCTGTAGTAAGCCATGATTGTACCACTGTATGCCAACCTGGGTGACAGAATGAGACTCTGTCTCACAAAAAAAAAAGAAAAGAAAAAAATATACAGAACAACTTTGTAACCTTAGGCAGAAGAAGAAAATGTGTAAATCGTATTTTTAAATGTTAATAAATTAGACTATATTAAAATTTAAAATTAGATACAAAATATACATAGAGGGTTAAAAGACAAGTTACAATCTAGAAGAAAGTGTTGGTAATGTATGTTATTGATAAGGTAACTAAAATGTATATAAAACTCCCACAATCAAACAAATAATGCAATACAAAATGAGATGCCACTAAAGGTAACAACTAAAATTATACTAAAAAGTAGCAAAAATTTTAAAAAGTGGAACTATTCCATTTAGCACAGTGGTTAAAGTATACATCTGGATACAAAGGGTCTGAGTTTGAATCCCAGTCATATCAATTATTAACTGAGTAACTTTGGTCAAACTATTTACTTTTTCTGTACCTTTATTTGTTCATCTGAAACAATATCAGATAATAAAAGCATTTGATTGTAAAGTTTTTGTGATGGGGAAGGGAATTAACATTTTATGTAAAAATGCTTAGAAAAATCCCTAGCTCATAGAGCCATATGAATGCTAGTTTTTAACTTTTCTATTATTTTTATGAATGAACCTTCCTTTGGGGAACTCAAAAATCATTCTAAAAGGTATATGAAAGACTAAAAGTCCACAGATTCCTAAGCCAAATATGAAAAGAAAATAAAGAGGGAGAATTGACCTCCTAAATGCTAAAACATACTGCAAAGCAATTATAATCAAAATATTATACAGCAGAAAAAAAAACAAATGAGCCAATGAAAAAGTTGATGTGTAATTTTTCAAATACACAGGGAAATGAACCACTTAGGGGCATCAGGAACTATACAGACATCAGTGTTCATGTGACCAAACTATGCAGTAAGTTTTCCAAAACCTTTAATCAGGGAACTCTTGTGTGAGAGTGTAGGATTTCACCATAATCCCTAGTCTATGGAAAATGGTATAGGGCCCCTGATCTGGATGCAACTGTCAAGAAATTAAACTCTAGCGATGCTCCCAAGCTTGTGCTAAAACATGCCATCCTAGAGGAATATCAGTATACTTTTTCACACATATTGGGGCACTAAATCATCTATCTTCCTTCCTATAATTCATGTAGATCAATATTTCTAAAATGAAGACAATTTTCCTCCCTGGTTTCTCTTACATAAAAAGAGGGATTAGTAGTTCTAAACAAAAGGACATATTCTATAACCAACTGCAAATCTGTAACTATTGTAGAAGAAATCATTGATAGATTGCTCTGCCAATAGGTTGAACTACCATGTCAGCTATCCCTAAACATTCCTTCTCTATCACAAAAAAAGCAAAGTAAAAATTGTCCTATGTGGTGCCCTCAGTTTTTAGCTGTATTATAATGGAAATGTGGTTTGCCAAAATGTATTGAGGTCTCTGACATTACATCATAAACATAGCAATCCAAAGGGATCTGCTGCTAAATTTACTTTATATATATCCCAAACTGTAACTCATAAAGACTGCTGATGGAATCATGGCTGTTTCTGACTTGTCTACAAGTAAAGGGCTCATGTTTACTGTGATTATGAATAGTGTTACCAGTAGAGCATAGATGGCTACAAAACAGTGGCAGAGGTGCGCTCGTGCACTCAGGGGATAGTGGTGAACATTATCTCCAGTTATTTATTCTCTCTGCCAAATGACATGAAGAGGTACAAGATATGCAAGAAAATCAACGTGTAGAAACATGTTCCTAACAAGTCTCTGACAGCTAGACAAATTGCCTTACCTTTTTTTGTGGGAAATAATGAAGAGTGATAAACCAAACAAGTTTCTCCATATACAGGGAATATCCCTATTCATTAGCACTAAGTGGATAGGTATCTACATTTATCATGCAATCCCAGAAAAGCAAAATCTTGAGGAGCAATAATTTTCTTAGTTAAGGCAAGCAGTGGTAGAAAGGACAATCTTGAAGTGTGTATCTGAATAAAATCAACCACCACAGATCCCTGCCAGATGTGTACAATAGTGAATTAACTCATGGATTAAAGAACTAAAGAAAGGAAAGAAAAAGTGGTGTAACATTGTCTCCTGGTGCACATCAAATATCCCTATGATCCTCCATATTGTGGAACCTCACATCTAGTTAGGTATGGGTCATGTGATCTTCTCTGTCTAACCAAGTGTGAACAGAAATAGCTTATGTCATTTCTAGGCCAAGATAATAAAGGATCTATATCCTGCCTCTATTTATCTGTTCCTTTTTTGTAGTAGTTTGTAAGCCCTGTGTTCCAGATGGCACACTTACAAGATTGAGAACTGCCTCACCCACGTCAGATCTTGTTTGAAGAAAATGTAAACTTTTACTCTACTAATTTACTAGGATACTGAAGTCTATTTGTTTCTGCAGCATGACATAGTCTGCCCTTACTAATACAATGGGTACATAGCCTTATAACCTGTCCATGGGAAAGAACCTTGTAACTATGAACCTGAAGACAGAAGCTATTAAAAGAGAGATTTGATTACATAAAATCTGTTACCATTGTATGTCAAAAGTACTAAGAACAAAATTGAAAGATAAAATTGAGAAAAATATTTCATTCCTCTTGCTCTCTCTCTATATATATACATATATATGTATATATATACATGCACACATATATGTAACAAATCTATACATGTAGCAAAAAAGTATCACTCTCTTTAATATGTGAAGCATTCTTAATGATCAATAAAAATTACAAACAGGAATATAGGCAATGAAGATTAATAGATGTACCACAGATTGCATCTTATTGCTAACAACAGAGACCAGAATTAAGCAAATTAGAATTTCATCCTTTATGTAAAAGAAATCTGGACATAAGAGATCTAGGACTGTTAAGGCATTTGGGTACAGATATGGCTTGTCTATGTGTCCCACTTAAATTTCATGTTGAATTGTAATTTCTAGTGTTGGAGGTGAGGCCTTGTGGAAGGTGATTGGGCCATAAGGGTGGTTTCTAATGATTTAGCACCATCCTCCTAGTTCTGTCTTACGATAGAGTTCTCATAAGATCTGATTATTTATAAAAGTGTATAGCACCTCCCCCTTCCCTTTCTTTCTTTCACTCTCTCTCTCTCTCCTGCCAGCCATGTGAAGATCATGCCTACTTCCCCTTCCCCTTCTGTCATGATTGTAAGTTTCCTGAGGCCTCTCCAGAAGCAGAAGCCTGTACAGCCCACAGAACCATTAGCCAATTCAACCTCTTTTCTTTATAAATTACACAGGCTCAGGTATGTCTTTATGGCCATGTGATAACTGACATACAAGTATTATCACGGACCCAAGCTCTTTCTTTCGTTTTTCCATTCTTAGTATGTGGCTTCCATTCACAAGGTCAATATTGATTTAATTTAACTACTAAAGCTTAAACCATCCTGTCTACATTTCAAGTAACTGTACCAAGAATTTTCCAAAGCTTACATGTACATCTCATTGGCCACCTCTATATCCAGGGCTGCTGAAAAATTTCCAATGTTATGTTAGTAATGAAGGAAAGAATAGACATGGTATAGATAAAGTTCCCTCTTTGTCCAATCAAGCACTCATGCCCTCTTTTCCTATAAGAAGAACACACACTTTGTCCTTCCTTAAACAAGTAGCCCCAATGTTATATTCAGTTGCAGCATCCATACCAATATCCAGAACCTCTAGTTAACACTCATTCTCTTCCATTGGGTCCTAAGGGGTTGTTTTATGGTCAGGCAACCTGTAGACTAAAATATGTTACCTATACTCAAGATTGACAAACAATGGTTATGAAGGAATAAGATACCCTGAAGGACACACATGCACACACACACACACAAAAACACCTTCTTAACAGAAAGAGTGAGAGTAGGGAAACATGGTAATCTCTGGTCCTGTCGGGCAGGAGTAA
Organism: Homo sapiens; assembly: GCF_000001405.40. Classification (NCBI taxonomy): domain Eukaryota; kingdom Metazoa; phylum Chordata; class Mammalia; order Primates; family Hominidae; genus Homo; species Homo sapiens. The sequence continues at coordinate 63,126,546 of NC_000006.12, forward strand.
GAAAAGGTCCCAGTCCTGGCATGAAGTGAGTGCCTAATTAGCCAGTGGGAAACTCCTGTTAATTCCTCTAAGAGGATCTCCTTGGTTCATTGTTTTCCATGGCCTCTGGTTCAGGGGGGACAGAGGTGGGTTCCTGGGAGTACTTTCTTTCTGGTGCTTACACAATTTCCAGCCCTTGTTGGTACTTATTGAACAAACCACAGATTGTTTTAGAAGGTAAGGCACTGGCTGTTGCAGGAAAAATTTGTGGGTTTTCTGGCAAGACAGTTCCCTAAAAATATATTAGGCTTCTTATCTCTTAGCTTCTAATTGGTTCCATGTGTTTGGCCACAGTTTTTATATTTGAAGATTCTGACTTTTAATTTTCAAACTCTGTGCTTTGCTTCAGTGGGAACACATTATCATTCATTCTTAATTTTAAGGCAGGTTTATGTTAAGTGCCTTGCAAAAATTCAGACTGCCAAAAGTAAAGGCTAAGATAAATGAAAAGTTTAGACAAATGATAAATATTGCTATATATCTAGGTAGTGGGTTCATGGAGATTTTTTAAATTATCACCTCTACTAATGTATGTATTTGACATTTTTCATGATAAAAGGTTTTCTTTTAACAAAACAAAAATAAAGGGGAAAGAAGATACTCATTTATTCTCCTAAAAATATAATGCAGGCTCAGGACCTACACAAGACCAACTGAATAAAAATCTCTGGGTGAGCATTTTTAATAAGTGTCTCTGCTGAGTCTTCTGCACCTTAAAATTGAAAAATACTACATTAAAAAAGTAAGGGGAAACCATTTACAGTTTTATTCCTCATTTAACAATGTGTCACACATATTTTATAAAACTCTACAGTATTTACATTTATCACTTTATTTTATTTGCCTCTTCTTTTTTCCATAAGTTATTGGGGTACAGGTGGTATTTGGTTACATGAGTAAGTTCTTTAGTGGTTATTTGTGAGATTTTGGTGCACCCATCACCTGAGCAGTATACACTGCACCACATTTGTAGTCTTTTATCCCTTGTCCCCCTCCCTCTCTTCCCCCCAAGTCCCCAAAGTCTATTGTATCATTCTTATGCCTTTGCATTCTCATAGCTTAGCAACTGTGTTCATCAGGGATATTGGTCGGTAGTTTTCTTTTTTTGTTATGTCTTCCCTGGTTCTGGTATTAGGGTGACACTGGCTTCAAAGAATTATTTAGGGAGGATTCCTCCTTTCACTCTCCCGTGGAATAGTGTCAATAAAATTGGTACCAATTCTTTGAATGTCTGATAGAATTCAGTTGTGAATGAATCTGGTCCTGGCCTTCTATTTTTGGCAATTTTATTATTACCTTTTCGATCTTGTGACTTTTATTATTGGTCTCTTCAGAGTTTCTATATTTTCTTGGTTTCATCTAGGAGGCTGTTATATTTCCAGAAATTTATCCATCTCCTCTCAGTTTTCTAGTTTATGCATGTAAAGGTGTTCATAGTAGCCTTGAACAATCTTTTGTATTTCTGCAGTATTAGTAGTAATATCTCCCATTTCATTTCTAATTGACCTTATTTGGATCTTCTTTCTTCTTTTCTTTGTTAGTGTCACTAATGGCCTACGAATTTTATTTATCTTTTCAAAGAACCAGCACTATGTTTCATTTATCTGTTGTAATTTTCATTGTTGTTGCTGTTGTTGTTGTTTCAATTTCATTTAGGTCTGCTCCGATTTTTGTTATTTCTTTTCTTCAGGAGGCTTGGGCTTGGATTGTTCTTCTTTCTCCAGTTCCATGAAGTGTGACCTTAATTGTCTTCTTGTGCTCTTGCAGACTTTTTGATGTAGGCATTTAATGCTATGAACTTTTGTCTTACCACCACTTTTGTTGTATCCCTGAGGTTTTGATAGATTTTGTCACTATTATCATTCAGTTCAAAGAACTTTTTAATTTCCATCTTGATTTCACTGTGGACACAATGATCATTCAGGAATAGGTTATTTAATTTTCATGTATTTGCAAGGTTTGAGGGTTCCTTTTCAAGTTGATTTCCAATTTTATTCCACTGTGGTCAGAGAGAGTACTTGATATAATTTTGATTTTCTTAAATTTACTGAGACTTCTTTTGTGGCCTATCATATGGTCTATCTTGAAGAATGTTCCATGTGCCGATGAATAGAATGTATATTCTGCAGTTGTTGGGTAGAATGTTCTGTAAATATCTGTTAATCCATTTGTTCTAGGGTATAGTTTAAGGTCCATTGTTTCCTCATTGACTTTCTGTCTTGATGAGCGTCTAGTGCTGTCAGTGGAGCATTAAAGTTGCCCACTATTATTGAGTTGCCATCTATCTCATTTCTTAGGCCTAGTAGTAATTGTTTTATAAATTTGGGTGCTCCAGTGTTAGGTGCATATATATGTAGAACTGTGATATTTTCCTGTTGAACTAGTCATTTTATCACTATATAATGTCCTTCTTTGTCTTGTTTAATTGCTGTTGCTTTAAAGTTCATTTTGTCTGATATAAGAATAGCTCCTCTGGCTCACTTTTGGTGCCCATTTGCATGGGATATCTTTTTCCATCCCCTTACCTTAAGTTTATGTGAGTCCTATGTGTTAGGTGAGTCTCCTGAGACAGCAGAAAGTTGATTGGTGAATTCTCATTCAACATTAGCATTGAGATATGAGGTAATATTCTATTCATCATGCTATTTGTTGCTTGAATACCTTGTTTATTCTGTTGTGTTATTGTTTTATAGGTCCTGTGAGATTTATTCATTAAGAAGGTTCTATTTTTGTGTATTTTGAGAATTTATTTCAAAATCTAGAGCTCCTCTTAGCAGTTCTTATAGTGCTGGCTTGGTAGTGGCGAATTCTCTCAGCATTTGTTTGTCTGGAAAAGACTGCATCTTTTCTTCATTTGTGAGTCTTCGTTTCACTGGAAACAAAATCCTTAGCTGATAATTGTTTTGCTTGAGGGGGCTAAAAATAGGGCCCCAATCCCTTCCAGCTGGTAGGGTTTCTGCTGAGAAATCTGCAGTTAATCTGATAGGTTTTTCTTTATAGGTTTCCTGATGCTTTTGCCTCACAGCTCTTAAGATTATTTCCTTTGTCTTGACTTTAGATAACCTAATGACTATGTGCCTAGGTGATGATCTTATGATGAATTTCCCAGGTGTTCTTTGAGCTTCTTGTATTCGGATGTCTAGATTTCTAGCAAGAATGGGGAAGTTTTCCTTGATTATTCTCTTATATATGTTATCCAAACTTTCAGATTTATCTTCTTGCTTGGGAGCACCAATTATTCTTAGGTTAGGATGTTTCACATAGTTCCAAATTTCTTGGAAGCTTTGTTCATTTTTTTTATTATTTTTTATTTTGTTTGAGGGATTGGGTTAATTCAAAAGCCTTGTCTTTGAGTTCTGAAGTTCTTTCTTCTGCTTGTTTGATTCTTTTGCTGAGAATTTCCAGTGCATTTTGCATTTCTCCGTGTCCTTGATTTCCAGACATTGTGATTTTTTTATTTATGCTCTCTATTTCACTGAATAATTTTCCTTTTATATCCTATATCATGTTTTTTATTTATTTAAGTTGAACTTCCCTTTCTCTTGTGCCTCCTTGATTAGCATAATAATCAACCTTCTGAAATCCTTTTCTGTCAATTCAGTGATTTTGTCTTGGCTTAGATCCATTGCTGGTGTGATCTTTTGGGGGTGTTAAATAACCTTGTTTTGTCATATTACCAGAATTGCTTTTCTGGTTTCTTCTCATTTGGGTAGACTAGGTCACAAGGAAGAGCTGGGACTCAAGGGCTGCTGTTCAAATTCTTTTGTCCCATGGGGTGCTCCCTTGATGTGTTCTCCCTCTTCCCCTAAGGATGGAGCTTCCTGAGGGCCAAACTACAGTGATTGTTTTTGCTCCTCTAGCCACCCAGCAGAGCTACCGGCCTCCAGGCTGGTACTGGAAATTATCTTCAAAGAGTCCCGTGATGTGATCTGTCTTCAAATCTTGCAGCCATGGATACCAGCACCTGTTCCAGTGGAGGCAGCTGGGTAGTAAAGTGGAATCCGTGAGGGTCCTTGGTTGTATTTTTTTGTTTAGTATGCTGGTTTTGTGTTGGTTGGTCACTAGCCAGGAGGTGGTGCTTTCAAGAGCCCATCAGGTGTGGTACTATAAGGAGGATGCAAACTTGCCCTAGGGTCAACTGGTTAAGTATTCAGATTTCTCAGGTGGTGGGAAGAGCCACGGACCTCCCAAGAAATGATGTCCTTTGTCTTCAGCAAACAAGGTGGGTGGAGAAAGAATACCAGGTGGAAGCAGAGATAGGCATGTCTGAGCCCAGACTTTCCTTGGGCAGGGCTTGCTGCAGCTGCTGTGGGGGCTGGGGGTATAATTCCCAAGCTAATGGAGTTATATTCCCATGGGTATTACATTTTCAATAAAGTTCATTTATCTTACATAAGGCCAAAGTTATATATTTATAAAATTAGTTCTTACCAAAAAAAATCAACCCAGTAGGGTATGACGATTCATAATTTTTCAAAGTAGCAACTATTAAAGCTAATGGTTTGTGAGAGAAAAACTGCAGAAACACTTGTTTAGAAGGTCAACTATTCTTAAGACACAACTGTTTTTACATTCAGAAAACTAAGGTATTAATTCCTATTATCTACATTTTTTAATATAATTTTAAAATAATCACTTCAAATTAGCCGTATCTAAGCAACCATCTCTTTCTTCTTCTCATAACCCTAAATATTACCAAATAAAACTACAGTTTTCATTAATAGTGGCATTAAAGTATGATATTAATGGTGTGATAAACATAACCATGATTGTTTCCAATTTCTTCATGGCCATTTGGGCATGCCCAGTTTTACACCTTTAATAAAGCACACAATACATGTGCATTTCAATTAAAGAATTTAATATCTATTCCAACTTTATGTCTTGAGACAAAAAATAACAAAATAAAATTATGGAAAATATGAGGTAGTTTGTTTTTAAATGATCAATTTTTTTTCACAGATTATGTCAATAGGAGAGTAAATTCATTATATTGGCTTAAATCATTATTTTTTCAGTGAAATCAGCCAAATTGAGTTGTTTTGATATGGCCATGAAATAAATTTTTCACACTAAAGTTTAAAAAGCACTGCATTAATTTTCTCTAATTTAAAGGGAAATAAACAATAACACATAAAACAAGCTTAGTTTATATAAAATATATAAATACATGCTGTATTTTTTTGCTAGAGCTGCCACAACAAACTGTCACAAACTGGTTGGCCTCAACAACAGAGATATATTGTGTCACAGTTGTGGAGGATAGAAGTTCAAGATTAAAATATGTCAGCAGGGTTGGTTCCCTCTGAGTACTGTGAGGGAAAATCTGTTCTGTGTCTCTCTCCTAACTTATGATAGTTTTCTGATCGTTTCTGGCATTCCATATCTTAAAGATTTATTACTCTGTTCTCTGCTTTTATTTCACATGTTGGTTTCCTTCTGTTTATATTTATGAGTACAAATTTCCTAGGGAAACCAGTTGTTTTAAATGAGACCCCACTCTAATGACTTCATTTTAACTTGATAACCTCATTTAACTTGATTGCCTCTGTAAAGGCCCTATTTTCAAATAAGGTGCCTTAGTCAGGGTTCTCTAGAGGGACAGAACTAATATATGTATTATATGTGTGTTTGTGTATGTATATAATATACTATTGTACTAATAGTATATATATATATACTTTATATATAGACAGAGTATATGTATAATGTGTGTGTGTGTATATATATGTATATATACACACACATATATGTGTGTATATATATGGGGGAGTTTATTAAATATTAACACACATGTTCACAAGGTCCCACAATAGGCAGTCTGCAAGCTGAGAAACAAGTAGAGCCAATCCGAGTCCTAGAACTGAAGAACTTAAAGTCTGATGTTCGAAGGCAGGAAGCATCCAGCATGGGACAAAGATGTAGGCTGGAAGGCTAGGCCAGTCTAGACCTTTCACTTTTTTCTTCCTGCTTTTTATATTCTAACCACATTGTCAGCTGATTAGATGGTGCCCACCCAGATTAAGGGTGGGTCTTCCTTTCCCACCTCACTGACTCAAATGTTAATCTCCTTTGGCAACACCCTCACAGACACACCCAGGAGCAATACTTTGTACCCTTCAATCTAACAAGTTGACACTCAGTATTAACCATCACAAGTCCACCCCTTGTCAACTTGAACCCATACACATCTCCTGAGATCATACATAGTCTTCAAATAAAGACAATAATAAGGTTATAATTATGCCTAACATAATGCAGCTATCCTTGGTACAACCAGAAATGCATCAATCCCCAACCGAAATACTATTATATAAAGTTAACAACACTTAAGTATTGATATGAAGTCAATAAATCTTATGTCATATGATAAAGAAAAAAATAAAATGAAGATATTTTCTTAGTACAAGTGTATGTATTCACAAACACGTTTTTAACAAAAGAAGGAGGAAATACTCATGACAATTACAGTCCTCATTTTTGCAGCTGGTCACGTGGTCATAGCTGGTATTGATGACTACCTTATTCTACTACCCATTCTGTATTGTCTTTGCCTTCAGCAAGCACCTCAGCAGGTCATGTTTTTTACTTGGTGGAGTGAACCAAACCTTCATTCCTGAAGAGTCTGGGCCATTTGTAATCCTGCCTGGATTGGGCTATTGTAGTTTCCCTTTGACCTTAATCACAAAGTATGATTAATACTAAGAAACACTCTAATGGGTCTTCTGTATTCCATGTGTACTCTTCCTTACTTCCACTGTGGAGTAGTAGACTGATTTCATCATGATAGTTCGGGTCAATCACCCCAGCCAACACTGTAACTCCCTTCTTAGCCTGTTGACTTAAAGGTAGGAGGAGCCCAAAGTGTCCAGATGGCAACCTTAACTTCCAGTTTAATTGAATCATTGTATCTCCTGGTGGCAGCATTCCTTCCTCTGGAACTAAGACTTCTAGGTGAGCAGAATGTAATGTCATGGAAACAGGGAGCAAAAATTTTGCTAGTGGTTCACTAGGGGTTATAGTGTGTGGTTCCACTTCCATCTCCACCTCTTGATTCCTGGACCCATGAATCCTAACTATGGGAGAAAGAGTACCATATATTGGACACTGATACAGAACATACAAGGCCTTCTGGAGAACTTTGCCTCAGCCCTGCAAAGTATTGTCACCTAGTTGGTGTGTAATTGTGACTTCAAAGAGCATTACACTGTTCTATCAATTCAGCTACTTCAGGATGATGGAGAACACGGTAAGACCAGTGAGTTCCATAAGCATGAGCCCACTGCCACACATCTTTAGCTTTAAAGTAAGTGCCTTGGTCAAAGGCAATGTTGTGTGAAATAGCATGATGGTGGATAAGGCATTCCGTGAGTCCATAGATGGTAGTCTTGGAAGAAGCATTGTGTGCAGGTTAGGCAAACCCATATTCAGAGTAAGTGTCTATTCTAGTGAGGACAAACCTTTGCCCTTTCCATGATGGAAGAGTTCCAATATAATCAACCTGCCATCAGGTCGCTGGCTGATCACCACGAGGAATAGTGTCATATCGAGGGCTCAGTGTTGGTCTCAGCTGCTGGCAAATTGGGCACTCAGCAGTGGCCATAGCCAGGTCAGCCTTGGTGAGTGGAAGTCCACATTGCTGAGCCCATGCATAACCTCCATCCCTGCCACCATGGCCACTTTGTTCATGGGCCCATTGGGCAATGACAGGGATAGCTGGGGAAAGAGGCTGAGTGGTATCAACAGAACAGGTCATCCTATCCACATGATAATTAAAATCCTCCTCTGCTGAGGTCACCTGTTGCTGAGCACTCACATGGGATACAAATGTCTTCACAGTGTTTGAACACTCAGAGAGGTCCATCCCCATACCATTTCCCCAAATTTCTTTGTCACCAATTTTCCAATCATGGGTTCTTCTAAGTCCCTGGCCATCCAGCCAAACCATTGGCTACAGCCCATGAATCAGTATATAATCACACATCTGGACATTTCTCCTTCCTTACAAAGTGCACAACTAGGTGCACTGCTCAAAGTTCTGCCCATTGGGAAGATTTTCCTTCACTGCTCTCCTTCAGGAATGTCCTAGAAAGGGGTTGTAGTGCCTAAGCTCTCCACCTTTGGGTGGTGCCTGCATATTGTACAGAACCACCTGTGAACCAGGCCCTAGTCTTCTCTTCCTCTGTCAATTGATCATAGGGAATTCCCCATGAGGCCATCAGTGCAGGCTGGGTGAGAGAAGGCAGGGTGGCAGTAGTGGAGACCATGGGCATTTGAGCCACTTTCTCATGTAACTTACTTGTGTCTTCAGGATCTGCTCGAGCCCAGTCACATATATACCACTTCCATTTAATGATGGAATGCTGCTGTGCATGACCCACTTTATGACTAGATGGATCAGAAAGCACCCAGTTCATGATAGGCAGTTCTGGTCACAAGGTGACTTAATGACCCATAGTCAAATGTTCAGTCTCCACCAAAGCCCAGTAACAGGCCAAAAGCTGTCTCTCAAAAAGATGGTAGTTATCTGCAGAAGATGACAGGGCCTTGATCCAAATTCCTATGGGCCTCCACTTTGGTTTTCCTAGGGGGGCTTGCCAAAGGCCCCAAACAGCATCCCTATCTGTCACTGACACCTCAAGCACCATTGGATCTGCTGGGGCATATGGCCCAACTGTCAGAACAGCTTGTACAGCAGCCTGGACCTGTTGCAGAGCCTTCTCCTGTTCTGGGCAACACTCAAAACTGGCAGCATTACAGGTCACTCGATAAATGGGCTGGAGTAACACACCCAAATGAGGAATGTGTTGCCTCCAAAATCCAAATAGATCCACTAGGCATTGTGCTTCTTTCTTGCTTGTAGAAAGGGCCAAATGCAGCCACTTATCCTTCACTTTACAAGGAATATCTCAACAGGCCCTACCCCACTGGACCCCTAGAAATTTTACTAAGGTAGAAAGTCCCTGAATTTTAGACAGATTTATTTCCCATCTTTGTCATGCAAATGTCTCACCAATAAGTCCAGTGTGTTTGCTACTCCTTACTCACTGGATCCAATCAGCATAACGTAATCAATGTAATGGACCAGTGTGATATCTTACAGAAATGAAAAGTAATCAAGATCTCCCCGAATAAGATTATGACACAAAGCCAGAAAGTTGATATACCCCTGAGGTAGGACAATAAAGGTATATTGCTGGCCTTACCAGCTGAAGGCAAATTGCTTCTGGTGGGCCTTATGGACAGGAACGGAGAAAAAGGCATTTGCTAAGTCAATGGCTGCATACCAGGTACTAGGGGATGTGTTAATTTGCTCAAGCAATAAAACCACATCTGGGACAGCAACTGCAATTGGAGTCACCACTCGGTTAAGCTGACAATAATCCACTGTTATTCTTCGAGATCTATCTGTCTTTTGCACAGAGCAAATGGGAGAGTTGAATGGGGATGTAGTGAGAATCACCACCCCTGCATCTTTTAAGTCCTTGATGGTGGCAGTAATCGCTCCAATCCCTCCAGGGATGTGATATTGTTTTTGATTTACTATTTTTCTAGATAGAAGCAGCTCTAATGGCTTTCATTTGGCCTTTCCCACCATAATAGCCCTTACCCTAACAGTCAGGGAGCCAATGTAAGGGTTCTGCCAGCTGCTAAGTATGTCTATGCCAATTATGCATTCTGGCACTGGGGAAATGACTACAGGATGAGTCTGAGGACCCACAGGACCCATTATAAGTCTAATGAGCTAAAACTCCATTAATTACCTGACCTCCATAAGCCCTTCCTTTAATTGGAGGACAACAATGATGTTTTGGGTCCCTTGGAATCAACATCAGCTCAGAACCAATGTCCAGTAGTCCCCAAAATGTCTGATTATTTCCCTTTTCCCAATGCACAGTTACCCTTGTAAAAGGCTGGAGGTCTCCTTGGGGTGCCGGGCGGAGGGAAATGGGAGAAAGATTAACAGCATAAACTGTCAGTAGTGTAGTGGAGTCCTTCCTCAAGGAGACACGGTCTCCTCTTCATTCAAGGGGTTCTGGGCCTACAAACTGGCTCAAGTCTGGAAATTAATTGAAGAGCCATGATTCTCTGTTTTTATAATTCAAATTCGTTTTTGCCCATTCAACCTAGCAGTTTTCTGCTTATATAAATTAAGCAGGAATGCAGTAGGCTTTCTATCAATTTTGCTTCTAGGAACACCATATTAATTGGCCAATGGCAGAGCTCTACACAAGTCAGACTATTCTGATAGCTGCTTTAACTTTTCTGTCCATTAGAGTAGCTATGCCAACCTTGCCTTTGATAGTTGAGTGCCTCCACTTGGCCCCTGCCACCTCAGGATCCAATATTTCCCATTCTATTTAAATTTTGTTGTTGAGTGACTGTATTAGATCTGACACACAGAGGACAGAAATTACAAGGCACTTCAAAGATGCAGGTTCTGCCCTCACAAATCTATTTTGCAAGTCATTGGTCAAGGGTATATCATCTGGAACCTCCTAGCTGGGATGAGTAGGTCTAAAGTGACTAATCCACTTCACCATCCGAATCTCTCTAAGTCTTTGGATCCCTTCCTCTACATTAAACCAAGGGAGACCAGCTCACTCACAGTTGGCCATCTTTTCATCCATATTTCAGTTAACCAAACAAATAAACTATTAGAACCTTTTTAACTCCCTGAGCTGCAACATTAAAAGCAGAGTCCCTATTTAATGGGCCCAAATCAATAAATTCACCCTATCCAACTCTGTGTTTCTTCCATCATTATCCCACGCCCTGTATATCCATTCCCATGCCTGTTCTTCAGATTTCTGTTTATATAAATTTAAAAACTCAAGCAGGTCTTTTCGAGTGTAGCACACCCTCCTCATGGGTCACACTGTCCACCTGGGACTTCAGTCTATTTATAGGTCTAGAAGAAAACAGGAACGTTGGGGGTGGCTCCTGGGGAGAATCAACATTATCTTGCCTGACAACTCTCTTGGGGAGGCCACCACTGTTGCCTCAGGCAGCGCAGGGTTCACCTCCTTAGACAAAGGTGGGAAGGCTGATGGCAGCATGGGTCAGGGAGGGATGTTGCCACTACTGGGGATGGGGAAGCTTTTTCTTCTGGCAAAAGTTTCATCAGAGTTTACAAACTCAGTGTCTCCAGCTTCATCAGGGTCCTCCCACACATCCCCATTCCAAGTTTTAGGGTCCCGTTCTTTTCCAATCAATGTCCTCATTTTAACAGTAGGTACCTAGTGAGGCTGTGCATTCACCTTTTATTACAGGTCAGCCACTCTCATAAGAAGAGCTTGTGTCTGTTTTTTCACAATTTCAGCTCTTTCTCTACAGGAGATAAGACTCTCACTCAGGGCAATCTTAGTAGATTTGAGGCTCAGTATCTGCCTCTGAATCCAGTTAGAATCCCTGAGTTCATCATTTTCTTTTATCACTTTGTCCAGTGAACTTAGGATCAACCAACCAGCTTCGTTATGTTCCTTGGTTCTCCACATGTCGTCAAAGGTATTATGTATAGAGTCACTAAACTCGCCTCTCACAAGCAGTGGATCAGCAGTGTCAAATGCATTTATTTTGCATAATTCTGTAAACAGTTCACACCAAGAACTATCAATGTTCTCCATACTATTAGAAGTAGAGTCCTTAGAATTTGGGGTCTAATTATATTAAGCAGCCAACTCCAGAAACCCCAAAACCAATGAAAGAACTCCATCCTTAATATTCTGTTCTTCTAGAACCACACCTGGTACCAAAATCTGTATAGTCAGAGTTCTCTAGAGGGACAGAACTAATGGAATATATATATATACATATATATATACATATGTGTGTATATGTATATAAAAGGAAGTTTATTAAGTATTAACACAAGATCACAATGTCCCACAATAGGCCATCTGCGAGCTGAGGAGCAAGGAGAGCCGGTCCAAGTCCCAAAACTGAAGAATTTGGAGTCTGATGTTTGAGGACAAGAAGCGTCCAGCATGGGAGAAAGATGTAGGCTGGGAAGCTAAGCCAGTCTAGTCTTTTCACATTTTTTTCTGCCTGCTTTTTATATTCTAGCCATGCTGGAAGCTGATTTGATTGTGTCCACCCAGATTAAATGTGGTTCTGCCTTTCCCAGCTCACTACTTCAAATGTTAATCTCCTTTGGCAACACCATCACAGACACACCGAGGATCCATTCTTTGCATCCTTCAATCTAATCAAATTGACAGGCAGTATTAGCTATCACATAAAGTGACATTCTGAAGTACTGAGGGTTAGAACATTAACATATCCCTTTTAGAGGAACACAATTCAACTGATAGCATATGCATATACTTATAAAATATTAAATATAGGCACACTATAAAAATTAGTCCCATAGAGTATATGATTTCCTCATGGACATATCTCCTGAGTTCTTTAATCTACTAAAAATAAATACTGGAGAAAGAATAGCCACTGAGGAATCTGAACTCAGCTTCTCTACTCTCACTTACTCTATGATAGGGAAAAATTATAACTTCCCTGAACCTGTTTCCTTATTTTTAAAAATGAAGAGATTGGCATAGATAATTTCCAAGATGTTATAAATACATATACTTCTAGGTTATTTTTTCAATTTAAAAACTAATATACGGATGTGGTTTTCTATAATAAGTCAAACATCATAAAAGGCTTTATTATGAAATACAAGATTTTTCCCCATTCAAAATTCTTGAGAAGAGGCAAAGAAAGACGGTAGAATAGAAGGCTCCACCAATTATTCCCTTGGCAAGGACACCAACTTAACAACTATCTACATAGGATAAAAACACCTTTGAAAGAATCAAAAATCAGGTGAGCCCCATAGTACCTTGTTTTACCTTTGCATCACTGAAAGAGGCACTGAAGAAATAGGAAAAAAAAAAGTCTGGAATCACCAATGCCATCCAACCACCACTCCCCCACTCACCCCAGCCACAGTGGTGTGATGTGAAGTGGTGTGATGTGAAGCGGTGTGATGAAGTGGTGTGATGTGATGTGAAGAGTGTCTGTGCAGAGTGATGTGAAGACTGTGATGTGAAGAGACACTCTGGGCACAGTAGGAGGCAGAACACAGCAATTGTGAGGCATTGGACGCAGTGCAGTCCTGTTAGAGCATAAAGAAAACCTAGACAAAACTCAGTTGACACCCGCCCATGAAGGGAACATTTAAACTGTCCCTGGCCAGAGGAAAATTGCTGATCCTAGCAGTCCAAACCTTGCCATGGAGGGATAAATTGCTCTGGGTCTCTAAGTAATCCTGAAATTACTGTAGGCCACAAAGACTGCAATACTTAGACAAGTCCTAGTGCTGAACTGGGCCCATAGACAGTGGACTTGGCATGGGGTGGGGGGAAGCATGTGACAAGCTGAGACAGCAGCTGGGCCAGCAAAGAGAGTACTGGCATCACCTCTGCCTTAACCCCTGGCTACAAAGCTTAAGGTTCCAAAAGAGACCCTTTCCTTCTGCTTGAGGAGAGAAGAGGTAAAAATGGGGAGGACTTTGTCTTGCATCTCAGATACCATCTCAACCACAGCAGGATAGAGCACTGGTCAGAGCAATGAGGCCTCCATTGCAGGCTCTAGCTCCTGGATGACATTTCTTGACACAACTTGGGCCAGAAGGGAACCCATTCCCTTAAAGGGAAAGACCCAGTCCTGGCAGCATTCATTTCCTGCTAACAGCCCTTTGGCCATGAATAACCAGCATCGATAACCAGGTCAATGGCCTTGGGTGAACCTCTGAGATGTACTGTCCTCCGGTAGCAGCACAGCCACAGAGGAGTAGAGCACCAACCAGGTTTTTGGGGTCCTTAATTCCAGGACTTGACTCTTGGATGGCATTTCTCAACCTGCTTGACATCACAGATGAGCCCACTGCCCTGAAATGGCAAGGGTGTTCGCAGGCCAAGTAACATTCACCAGAAGCTGACTTAAGAGTTTATGGGCTCTAAAGGAACATCAGTGATAGTCTGGCAATATTCTCTATGGCCTGTGGTGGCAGTGGCTACAGGATGAGGTATTTGTCCCTTTGGAAAGAGAAGGGAAGAGGGGAAGGACTGTATCTTGTAATTTGAATGTCAGCTCAGCTGTAGTACAGTAGAACACCAGGTAGATTTCCAAGATTTTTTACTGTGGTCCTTGACTCCCAGACAGCACTTCCAGACCCACTTCAGGCCTGATATAACTCAGCACCTTGAATGGAAAGATATTTGCCTGGCTGGCTTTGCCACTTGTTGATTGCAGAGAGAGCCTTGCAGGCTTGAGCAAACATAGGCAGTGGATGGAGAGTGCTTATAGCAGGCCTTGGGTGAGACTCAGTGCTGCGGTGGCTTCAGGTATAATCTAGCACAGTCATAGTGTTGGTGGCCACAAGGGTACTTCTGTCACTCAACTCCCAGCTTTATGTGCCTCAGAACAGAGAGAGAGAAAGACTCTGTTTGCTTGAAAGAAAGGAAAGAGGAGAACAAGAGTCTCTGCCCAGTAATTCAGAGAATTATCTTGGATCTTGTCCAAGACAATCAAGAAAGTACCTCCACAAGTCCACAAGAACCACAGCATTACTGGGCTTGGAGTGGCCTCTACAGCAGCTCCAGTTTAGATCACAATACCCAAGTCGGTTAAATATCCAGAAAGTCTTTTCAAGAAGGACAGGTACCAATAAGCCTAGATAGTTAAGACTATAACATATACAAAACACTTTAATACCCAGACACTGAAGAACATTTATTAGTATCAACACCATCCAGGAAAACATGACAGAGAAAAATTAAATAAGGCACCAGGGACCAATCCTGGAGAAACAGATATAGGCAAACTTTCAGACAGGAAACTCAAAATAGCTATTTGAGGAAATCCAAAGAAATTCAAGATAAAACAGACACATAATTCAGAATTCCGTCAGATAATATTTTTAAAGATTTAAATAATTAAGAGGAATAAAGCAGAAATTCTGGAGCTGAAAAATGCAAGGGGCATACTGAAGAATACATCAGAGTCTTTTAATAGCAGAATTGATCAAGCAGAAGAAAGAACAAGTGAGCTTGAAGACAGTCTATTTAGAAATACACTGACAGAGAAGAAAAAAGAAAAAAAATAAAAAACAATGAAGCACTGAGACATGACCTAGAAAATAGCCTTGAAAGAATAAATCTAGGTGATATTGGCCTTGAAGAGGAAGTACAAAAGAGATGGGGTAGAAAGTTTATTCAAATGGATAATAACAGGCCGGGCGCAGTGGCTCATGCCTGTAATCCCAGCACTTTGAGAGGCTGAGGCAGGCAGATCATGAGGTCAGGAGATCGAGATCATCCTGGCTAACACAGTGAAACCCCATCTCTACTAAAAATACAAAAAATTAGCCAGACATGGTGGCAGGCACCTGTAGTCCCAGCTACTTGGGAAGCCGAGACAGGAGAATGGTGGGAGGCAGAGCTTGCAGTGAGCCAAGATCTCATCACTGTACTCCAGCCTGGGCAACAGAGCAAGACTCCATCTCAAAAAAAAAAAAAAAAAAAAGAAAGAAGAAAAAAAAAGGATAATAGCAGAGAACTTCTCAAACCTGCAGAAAACTATCAGTATCTAAGTAAAATAGGGTTATAGAACACCAAGCAGATTTAGTCTAAAGAAGACTACCTCAAGGCATTAAATAAACTCCCAAAGATCAAGAATAAAGAAAGGATTATTAAAGCAGCAACAGAAAAGAAGTAAATAACTTACAATGAAGCTGCAATACATCTGGCAGCAGACTTTTCAGTGGAAACCTTACAAGCCAGGAGAGATTGGAATAACATATTTAAAGAGCTAAGGGAAAAAAACTTTTACCCTAGAGTAGTATAGCTAGTGAAAATATTCTTCAAACATGAAAAAGAAATAAACACTTTCCCAGAAAAACAAAAGCTGAGAGATTTCACCAACACCAGACCTGTCCTGCAAGAAATGCTAAAGAGAGCACTTCAATCAGAAAGAAAGGACATTAATGAGCAATAAGAAATCAAATGAAGGAAAAAAAATTCTCACTAGTAATAGTAAGTATACAGAAAAACACAGAATATTATAATACTGTAACTGTGGTGTGTAAACTACTCTTATCTTTAGTAGAAAGACTAAATGATGCACATACCAAAAATAATAACTAAAACAATTTTTCAAGACATAAACAGTACCATAAGATATAAATAGAAACAACATAAAGTTAAAAAGCAAAGGAAACAAATTAAAGCATATAATTTTTATTTTCTTTTTGCTTTTCTGTTTATGCAATCAGTGAAGTTTTTATCAGGTTAAAATTATAAGTTATAAGATAGTATTCATAAGTCGCATGGTAATCTGAAACCAAAAAATATAAAATGAATACACAAAAATATAAAAAGCAAGAAATTAAGTCATCTCACCAGAAAAATATCACCTTCACTGGAGGAAGTCAGGAAGAAAAGAAAGAAGGAAGAGAAGACCACAAAACAACCAGAAAACAAGTAACAAAATGGCAGGAGTTTGTATTTATCAATAATAACATTAAATGCAAATGAACTAAACTCTCCAATCAAAAGACATAGACTGGCTGGAATGATGAAAAAACAAGACGTGTTGGTCTGTTGACTATAAGGAAAAAAACTTCACCTATGAAGACACACATAAATTGATAATAAAGAGATTGAAAAAGATATTCCATGCCAACGGAAATGAAAATAAAAGATCAGGAGTCATTATACTTATATCAAACAAATAGATTTTCAGACAAAAACTATAAGAAGAGAAAAAGGATGTTACTATATAATGATAAAGTGGTCAATTCAGCAAGAGGATCTAATAATTTTAAATATACATGCACCCAAAACTGGAACACCCAGATATATAAAACAAATATTATTAGAGCTAAAGAGATAGGCCCCACTACAATAATAGCTGGACACTTCAATACCCTACTTTTAGCCTTGAACTAAACTTCCAGACAGAAAATCAACAAAGAAACATCAGACTTAATCTACACTGTGGACCAACTGGATCTAATTTATATTTATAAAACATTTCATTCAATAGCAGGGGAATACACATTCTTTTCCTCAGCACATGGATGATGTTCAAGGATACACCTTACATTAGGTAACAAAACAAGTCTTAAAACATTTTTAAAAATTGAAGTAATATCAACCATCTTCTTTGACCACAATGGACTAAAACTAGAAATCAATAACTAGAGAAATTTTAGAAGCTATACAAATATATGGAAATCAAACAATATACTCCTGAAGAACCAGTGGATCAATAAAGAAATTAAAAAGAAAATCAAAAAATGTATTGAAACAAGTGATAATGGAAACACATCATACCAAAACCTATGGGATACAGCAAAAGTAATACTAACAGGGAGGTCTATAGCTGTAAGTACCTACCTCAAAAAAGAGGAAACACTTGAAATTAATAATCTAATGATGAATCTTAAAGAACTAGAAAAGTGATAGTAAACTGAACCAAAAATTGGTATAAAGAAAGAAATAATAAAGATTAAAACAGAAACACATGAATCAAGAAAACAATTCAAAAGCTCAATGAAACAAAAGGGTGGTATTTAGAAAGGTTAAATAAAATTGACAAAGCTTTAGCCAGACTAAGATAAAAGGGAAGAAGATCCAAATAAATACAATTAGAAATTTTTTAAAAAGAGATATTACAGCTGATACTGCAGATGTAATGACTTCCAGGTGTTAAAAAAAAATTTTAAATTAGCAACTGTTACTGCAGAAATTCAAAGGATTATCAGTGGCTACTTTGAGCAATTATATGCCAATAAATTGGAAAATCTAAAAGAAATGGAAAAATTTCTAAAGACACACAACCTACCAAGATTGAACTAGGAAGAAATCTGAAACCCCTAAATAGACTGATAACAAGTAATGAAATAAAAGCCATAATAAAAAGCCTCCTAGAAAAAAACAAAAAAAAAAGCCCAGGACCTGATGGCTTAATTGCTGAATGCTACCAAACATTTAATGAAAAACTAATACCAATTAATATGGTTAGGCTTTATGTTCCCACCCAAATCTCATCTCTCATCATAATCCTCATAATCGCCACGTGTCAATGGAGAGACCAGGTGGAGGTAGTTGAATCATAAAGACAGTTGCCTCCGTGATGTTCTCATGATAGTGAGTTCTCAAAAGATCTGATGGTTTCATAAGGGGCTCTTCCCCCTTCACTCAGCATTTCTCCTTCCTGCCACCTTGTGAAGGTGTCTTGCTTCCCCTTTGCCTTCCACTATGATATTAAGTTTCCTGAGGCCTCCCCAGCCATGCCGAACTGTGAGTCAATTAAACCTCTTTCCTTCAGGAAATTACCCAAAGTTGGGCAGTTCTTTAAACCAGTATGAAAATTGACTAATACAGTAAATTGGTACAGAAGTAGTGGGGCACTACTATAAAGATATCAAAAAAACAATTTTGGAACTGGGTAACAAGCAGATGTTGGAACAGTTTGGAGGGCTCAGAAGAAGACAAGAAGATGTGGCCGAGGTGGTCTCAGATGGAGATAAGGAACTTGTTGAGAACTAGAATAATGGTGACTCTCACTATGCTTTAGCAAAGAGATTGGTGGCATTTTGCCCTGCCCTAGAGATCTGTGGAACTTTGGACTTGAGAGAGATGATTTAGGGTGTCTGGTAGAAGAAATTTCTAAGCTGCAAAGCATTCAAGATTTAACTTGTGTGCTCTTAAAAGCATTCAGTTTTATGCACTCTCAAAGAGATGATTTGGAATTTGAACTTATATTTGAAAGTGAAGCAGAGCATAAAAGTTTAAAATGTGCAGCCTGATGATGCAATAGAAAAGAAAAAAAAAGTTTTCTGGGGAGAAATTTAGGCTGGTGGCAGAAATTTGCATAAGTAGAGAGGTAATACAATTGTAAATTGCCAAGACAATGGGGAAAATTTCTTCAAAGCATGTCAGAGGTCTGCACAACAGCCACGCCCATCAAGTCCGGGAGGCCTAGGAGAAAAAAATAGTTTGATGGACTAAGCTTTGTGCAGTCTCAGGACTTGGTGTTCTGCATCTTAGCCATAGCTAAAAGGGGCCAATGTACAGCTCAAGCTGTTGCATCAGAGGGAACATGCCCCAAGCCTTGCTGGTATATTCATGTGTTAGGCCTTTCAGTGCACAAAAGTCAAGAACTGAGGTTTGGGAACCTCCAACTAGATTTCAGAGGATGTATGGAAAGGCCTGGATGTTCAGGCAGAGGTGTGCTGCTGCGACAGAGTCCTCATGGAGAACCTCTGCTAGGGCAGTGCAGAAGGGAAATATGAGGTCAGAGGCCTCACACAGAGACCCCACTGAGCACTGCCTAATGAAGCTGTGAGAAGAGGGCTACCATCCTCCAGATCCCAGAATGGTAGAGTCACTGACAGCTTGCACCATCCACCTGGAAAAGCTGCAGACACTGCAGACACTCAACACCAGTGAGGGAAAGCAGCCAGGACTAGGGGCTGTATTCTGCAAAGCCACAGGAGCAGAGCTGCCCAAGACCATGGGAGTCTACCTCTTGCATCAGCATGACCTGGATATGAGACATGGAATCAAAGGAGATTATTTTGGAGCTTTAAGATTTGACTGCCCTGCTGGATTTTGGACTTGCCTGGGTCCTGTAGCCCCTTCATTTTGGCCAGTTTCTCCCATTTAGAATGGATATACTTACTCAATGCCTGTAACCGCATTGTATCTGGGAAGTAACTAACTTGCTTTTGATTTTACAGGTTCATAGGTGGAAGAGACTTGCCTTGTCTCAGATGAGACTTTGAACTTGGACTTTTGGGTTAATGTTGGAATGAATTAAGACTTTGGTGGACTGTTGGGAAGACACTGATTGGTTTTGAAATGTAAAAGGAACATGAGATTTGGGAGGAGCCAGGGTGAAATGATATGGTTAGACTTTATGTTCCCATTCAAATCTAATCTTGAATTGTGATCCCCATAATCCCCATGTGTCAAGGGAGAAACCAGGTGGAGGTAATTGAATAATGGGGTGGTTTCCCCTATGCTGTTATCATGATAGTGAGTGAGTTCTCACAAGATCTGATGATTTTATAAGGGTCTCTTCCCCCTTCACTTGTTCACTCTTCTTCTTGCCACCTTGTGAAGAAGGTGCCTTGCTTCCCCTTTGACTTCTGCCATGATATTAAGTTTCCTGAGGCCTCTCTAGCCATGCAGAACTGTGAGTCAATTAAACCTCTTTCCTTTATAAATTACCCAGGCTCAGAAAGTTCTTTATAGGAGTATGAAAACACACTAATAGAGCAATCTATAGATGCAATGAAATCCTTGTTAAGATACCAATGACACTCTTCACACAAAAAAATTATAAACTTTATATAGAACCACAAGAGATCCAGAATAGCCACAGCCATCCTAAGCAAAAAGAACAAAACTAGAGGAATCACATTACCTGACTTCAAATTATGCTACAGAGGTATGGTAACCAAAACAGTATGGTTCTGGCATAGAAACAGACACATAGACCAATGAAAGAGAATAGAGAACCCAGAAACAAATCCACACAACTACAGAGACCTCATTTTCGACAAAGGTGCCAAGAACATACACTAGGGAACAGTCTCTTCAATAAACAGCACTGAGAAAACTGGATATCCACATGCAGAAGAATGAAACTATACCCCTATCTCTCACCATATAAAAAAACTCAAAATGGATTAAAGACTTTAATCTAAGACCTCAAACTATGAAACTACTTCAAAAAACCACTGGGGAAAATCTCCAGGACATTGGTCTGGGAAAAAAAAATCTCTTGAGCAATACCCCACAAGCACCGGCAACCAAAGCAAAAATTGACAAATTGGATCACATTACATTAAAAAGCTTCTGCACAGCAAAGGAAACAATCAGCAAAGTAAACAGACAACCCATAGAATGGGAGAAAATATTTGCAAACTATCCATATTACAAGGAATTAATAACCAGTATGTGCAAGCAGCTCAAACAACTCTGTAGGAAAAAATGTACTAATTCAATAAAAAACTAGGCAAAAGGTTTGAATAGATATTTCTCAAAAGAAGACATGCAAATGGCAAACAGGCATATGAAAATGTGCTCAACATCATTTATCATCAGAAAAATGCAAATCAAAACTACAGTGAGATATGGCTTATATCCAAAAGATAGGCAATTTAAAATGGCTTATATCAAAAAGATAGGGAATAATAAATGCTGGTGAGGATGTAGAGAAAAGGGAACCTCCTTCCTTATACACTGTTGGCAGGGATGTACCACATAGTTCAGCAATCCCACTGCTGGATATATACCCAAAAGAAAGGAAATCAGTATATCAAATAGATATCTGCACTCCCAAGTTGGTTGCAACACTGTTCACAATAGATAATATTTAGAAACAATCTAAGTCTTCATCAACAGATGAATGAATTTAAAAAAGTGGTAAACACAATGGAGTACTATTCTACCATTAAAAAAAAATAAGATCCTGTTATTTGCAGCAATATGGATGGAACTGAAGATGATTATGTTAAGCCAGACACAGAAAGACAAACATCGCATGTTATCACTTATTTGTGGGATCTAAAATTCAAAACAATTGAACTCATGGACATAGACTAGAAGGATGGTTACCAGAAGCTGGGAAGGGTAGGGGGAGGGCTTGAAGGAAGGTAGGAATGGTTAATGTGTAGAAAAATATAGTTATAAAGAATGAATAAGACCTAGTATTTGATAGCACAACAGGGTGACTATAATCAATAACAACTTAACTGTATATTTTAAAATAACTAAAACAGTACAACTGGATTGTTTGTAATTCAAAGGATAAATGTTTGAGGGGATGGATACCCCATTCTCCATGATATGATTATTTCACATTTCCTGCCTGTATCCAAACATAACCACAAAACTTAAAAAACTCTCAGCACCCCACAGTCACTATGAACAGTTTTATGGATCACTTCAAAAACATCAGCCGGGTGCAGTGGCTCATGCCTGTAATCCCAGCACTGTGGGAGGCCTAGGCAGGTGGGTGGCTTGGGCCCAGGAGTTTGAGAACAGCCTGGGCAACATGGCAAAACCCCATCTCTACAAAAAATACAAAAATTAGCCGGGTGCGGTGGTGCATGCCTGTGGTTTCAGCTACTTAGGAGGCTGAGGTGAGAGGATCACTTCAGCCCAGGAGGCAGAGCTTGCAGTTAGCTGTGCCATTGCACTCAAGCCTGGACAACAGAGCAAGACCTGTCTCAAAAAAAAAAAAAAAAAAAAAAGGACAAACAAAAAACCTTCTGTGTATATTTAAGTACACATAAGTACATATTTCCTTTCCACAAATGATAGTATAGTAGTCACACTATTCTGAACCTTGCTTCTTTGAGTCTTTTTTGCAACAGCAGAACAATTATCTATTGCATTTAAGTATATTTAGACAAAAACATCCTTAGAATATTCTGGAATAGCTTACACCTATAATCTCAGCCTTTTAGGAGATCAAGGCAAGAGGATTGCTTGAGGCTAAAAGTGCAAGGTCAACCTGAGCAACATAGGGACACCTAATCTCTACAAAGTTTTTAAAAAATAGTCTGGTGTGGTGACATGTAGCTCTAGTCCTAGCTGCTTAGGAGGATGGGGCAGGAAGAATACCATGAGCACAGGAGCTTTAGATTACAGTGAGTTACGATCACACCACTGAACTCCAACCTATGTGACAGAGTGAGAAACTGTCTCTTAAGAAAGAAAAGAGAAGAATATTCTGGAATAGTTGTGTAAAAGGACAGTAACCTTCCATGTTTCTTTAAAGGATTAAAAATTATGATCACCTTAATGTGTATTTTTATTTTAAAAAATGACGAAGAATGTAATTTTGCTCCGAAGTCATAATAGATCGGCGATAATTAGTTTTGTGATAATAGTTTTGAAATAATTGGCTTCAAAGAGTTTTTTTAATTATAATAGTGTATAAGAAAAGATTCTTCAGTGATATTTTTACACAAAAATTGATTCTCCTGTCATCCAAAAGGCAAAGGTGTTTAAGCCGGTAGACTTCAGTCAATAAGCTAAAGGAAGAAACAGTCAAGCATGAGGTTGAGGTAGGAAGTGAAACTTGAATAGCTTGGGAATAAAGACTTGACCACCTGACCTAATGCAATTAGCTTAGAGAAGACTTAAGCTGAGGCCTAATCAGTAGGTGATAGAAGCAGGGGGTTAGGGATATGGAGAGTTGATTCCTCATGGACCTGATTGTTTAAAAAGACTTTTCTAAATCCTCAAAATCTTCCTCAGAAGTCTTTTACCTCTAGTGCTCCTACCCTGTCAGTTACACAAAACCATGGGCTCTGGGATAGGCATCTACTATCATGTTTGCTTATATAGTAGACATCTGGTTAACATATGTTGGCCACATGAATGAACAAAAGGAAAATGCTGGTATCTGCATACTTGACAGCAACTTTAATAAAGTTGAACATTGTCCTCACTGTTAATGTTTAATACAATCTCATGCACTTGATTTTATGGGCCTTCTGGGAGAAATAGGCCTAATATGTTGTTAACTCAGATGAATAGCTGCCTAAAGAAGGCTATTAGACTCATAATAAAGAATTTTCAGTGTGGTTTGGAGCTAAGAAACAGAGGTATAATGGGATTTTCCACTCAATATCTTTATTTTCAACAAATAAAAAATATGTAATTATGATAGCATAGGAGTTTGGAGCAAATGGAACAAAAGCATGGGAAAATCTTCAATGCTACATATGTATGTTAATTCTAAGTGATGAACTTGTATATGATTTTATTTAAGTTTGTAAGTTTTACAAAAATCTTTCATTGATACTTTTAGAAGTTTCAAGATGTTTGCGCAGAAGCAAAAATATGATATCAAAAATTTTTGAATAAGTTAACCAAATAAAGCTTATTCTGTTTTCCATTGGTGATGAGACCTATTTTCACATATTAAGTGATGAATATTTCTTCTTCTGCTCTATATGTTTATAGTATATAGTAGTATATAACATCTGATTTTATGGTTGGCATTAGGCTATATGTGTAATAAATATTAAGACTACCAACTCAGCAAAAATGGGTAAAATGCTTTTATTTTCCTATCTCTGCATATCACCTCTACTTCTAGTCCTCATTTTACATAATTGAAGGCATTTTCTCCACTCTCCCTAGAGTTATTTCTAAATTTTGAGAGCCTAAATAATGTCATAAGGTCATGACATTATATATATAATTATATATGTGTGTGCATATATATAATGACATTATATATATAATGTCGTGAGGTTTTGCTGAGATGGAGGGGCGAGTGACAGAGAATCTGTCTTTCTATCATCATCTCTCCACAGGGACATATGATGATGTGCATATCAACCAACCTAGGCTGTCACAAGGAAACACAGATTGCTACTGTGTCCCCAGTTTTGAAAACTTATTTTGAACCTCATTCTGAGAATTGCCTTGTTTGTTCTTTGGTTCTGTGGTATCATCCCCTTCCTGAGACAGGGAAATAATTTGGTCTAACATCTTGGACAAAAGAAGGGCTACAACAGCATTGGAGAAGAGCAGAAAAAGGAATATTCATCAGTTAATATGTGAAAATAGGTCTCATCACCCATGGAAAACAGAATAAGCTTTATCTGGTTAACCTATTCAAAAATTTTTGATATCATATTTTTGCTTCTGCGCAAACATCTTGAAACTTCTAAAAGTATCAATGAAACATTTTTGTAAAAGTTACAAACTTAAATAAAATCATGTACAAGATCATCACTTAGAATTAACATACATATGTAGTGTTGAAGATTTCCCCATGCATATGCATGCACATGCAGATACATATTTAATTGGTTTTTATAAAAATTGAATCATACGGTATGTAATTATTTTGTAACTTGGTTTTTGAAGCTCGTAATGATATCTAATATTTTGGAATTAGCTTGATGAAGAAAATTGTAAGATCAGTATGTTACCACATTGTATTCAAGTGCCAAATACAAATTTAATACCAAGTTTTTAGATAGCCAGTACAGAAAATTCAATGATATGCATTTTTTTGCCCCCAAAATTAGTTTATTGTTTTTTTCAATTGCTCTTCAGGAAACTGTAGTTAAAATAATCTTAACAAACATCTACTAACATAAACAGGGTAGACCAGGATAGCACTGTGAAGGAAGGTGTCTACCTTCATTCATTTCACTGACAAAGACTACTCAAATGTTACAATTTATGCAAGAGAAGTTCTCACAACCTGATTGGTCATCTACTTCATTCTGCTGCCTCCAGCTTGCCTTGCTGCTGGAAGTGTCCAACCCTTCATTTCTCTAAACTTTTGAATTCTTAATTCCCACCCTAGCCAAGACAAGATCTACAGTGAGAAAGTGGCAATGAAAAGTTTACATAAGCAATGACTATCCCCCTGCATATAACTCTCCCTCAGCAACCACTGAAGCTCCATGTCAGCTCACTGGGGTCCTCAAAAAGCAGAAGCATTTTATCTCTCCTTTGTAAAAAGAGCCATAATTTTCCTCCATATATATCTTTGACTATGGACAAATTTTAGAAGAAAATGAGATAATCATCTTGTCCCTGGGTATTTCTTTCTTGTTATGGCACTAAATGCCTTAGAAATTTCCAAATGGAAGAGTGCTTGCTTTGGGCTTAGGTAGAACCACTGGTAGTATTCTGCTTCCTACAAGTCCAGGGAATACTCAAAAACTTGGTCCAATATCATATTGGGAAAAGAAAAACAAAAAGCAGGTAATCCACTGGAGCAAATAGAAAAGGAAATGAAAACGCAACTTAACAGATGCCTTTTCAGTTTTAAATCAGCAACATCTCAATATTTCCATTTCCACATGTATATTTGTCATCTATTTTCATAATTATTTTTAATTTTTAATCATAGAAGTTACATTTTAAAATAGATAGTTTTGGTTAAAGGACTACAATAATTTCTTGAGGCTTAAAAAAATCAAAATTTTCAAATAAATCCAATTCTGATATTAAAAACCTAATTACTTCCTTAGGCTTAAGGAGGATCAATCTGAAGTGTTCTTTAAAAAAGAGTTCCTTTTATTTTTATCAGTTTGTTAAAGTAAGAATATGTTACCCTCAAGTTATTTCATGTATTTTAAATTTTTAGGCTACTATAAAAAATTACATAAAATATAATAATAAAAAATTATGGTTTATTCATTTGCATACTTAATTAACTTTTACTACATATCTACCATATGTCAAGTGTTGTGCTAAATGCTATTAGAAACACTAAGAAGAGAAAAATTCCAGACTTCTTTTCAAAAGTTATTTGCTCTTTCAAATCGAAGCAGTGGCCAGTAAATAAAGGCAGATATTAGAACTAGGATGAGCAAAGATGAAAAATATAGAAGAGATTATAAAAAACAACAAAATGGAAATTGAAAATGTATGGGTGTCATAGCAGGAGATGTTTCCAAGTGGGGTAGTAATTTTGAAACAATCAAAAGGTAACTGATATCTAGTCTAATGAGTATGGTTGTTGTTGTTGTTGTTGTTGTTTTGTTTTTTGTTTTTTGGGGGATGAAGTTTTGCTCTTGTTGCCCAGGCTAGAGTGCAATGGCACAATCTTGGCTCACCACAACCTCCACCTCCTGAGTTCAAGTGATTCTGCTGCCTCAGCCTCCCGAGTAGCTGGGATTACAGACATGTGCCACCACATCTGGCTAATTTTGTATTTTTAGTAGAGATGGGGTTTCTCCATGTTGATCAGGCTGGTCTCAAACTCCTGATTTCAGGTGATCCACCTGCCTTGGCCTCCCAAAGTGCTGGGATTACAGGCATGAGCCACCGTGCCTGGCCCATGAATATGTTTTCATAAGAGATTTAATATGTTATAAGGAGAATTGTGGTATTGAAATAATCTGAAAGTTTGGACAGTCCCAATTATCTCTGCCTTACACCAAATTGGATCTCATTTCAAAACAAAAGCCATGAGAAAATAGTTCAGAGTTTAGGACACATAGATAAATTCTTTGAGCACACTGGCTTAAATAGCTCATAGTAATAAGCATCAGTAATAAGCATATTAGCAGATTAAGCCTGTGTTTTGTCACATTTGAAGGCAGGGGCCTATCTTGAGTTACTCTCATCCCTAAAACCTCACATTAGAGTCTGGCACATTATCAGGGCTCAATAGCTGATTAATTGACTGATTAGTTCTTAATAGCTAGAATGCAAATTTTGTGTGAGTAAGGATGGTTGCTTGTTTGTTTGTTTTCCTGCTTTGTTTATTGACAAATTCTTACTGCCTTGATGACTATCTGGTGCACAGTAGGCACTCAATAAATATTAGCTGAATAAATTTAACTACTGGTTTGTAAACTTTACTCCTACATTAGGTACTTTTTGCACATCTATAAAATATTGGGAAATAATATTAATGGTCTTGAAATAAACACAAAACACAAATCTAAATTCATCCAATCAAAATCAGTTTTGAATATTTATATTATCAAATAAGGAGGAGCCATAAATTTTTATAATTTTTTCAGATCATCTTCCCATTTTCTGGTCACTCATGAATATAAACCTTCTGATGGAAATAATCTAAAATATATTTATTCATTTAAAACTGTGAAAGTCGCCGGACATGGTGGCTCATGCCTGCAACCCCAGCACTTTGGGAGGCCAAGTTGGGTGGATCACCTGAGGTCAGGAGTTCTAGACCAGTCTGGCCAACATGGTGAAACCCCATCTCTACTAAAAATACAAAAATTAGTCCAGTGTGGTGGCAGACACCTGTAGTCCCAGCTACTAGGGAGGCTGAGGCAGGAGAATTGCTTGAGCCTGGGAGGTAGAGGTTTCAGCGAGCCGAGATCGTGCCACTGCACTCTAGCCTGGCCGACAGAGCAAGACTCTGTCTCAAAAAAAACAAAAAAACAAAAAACTTATGAAAGTCATTTGTACAAAGTGGGTCATTCTTGTCATAGCCGACTAAAGCAGAGTTGAGAAGTGAGTAGAAACAGCACTCAGGACACAAAACATTGCTGCAAAAATGTAATACTTTGCAAGCCTGGCAACTGACTGCCTGAAGTAACCTGAACCAGTTTTATCTAATGAGTGCTAAACAATCTGCAGCAGCTCAGACTAATTTTGTCCACCACCTTCACTTCAGAGCTTCCCAGTTCCTCAAAACCTTACTAGTGCCAATGAAATTTCTCAAAGGCAATACCTAACACATATTTATTTATGAAAATAAAACCTCTAACCTTTTCTTTGATCTTTGGAGACAGCGCTTTCAGTTCACACCAGAGAATATTTCTCCCTAACTTATAAACAGATATTACCAATAAAACTCTCTTTTCCACTATGTAGCAATCCTGTTGGTCCTTTGGATGACAACATTTACTGAGTACATGCTTTGTATGTCTGCTTCTCAGTCAGAGAAGCAGAACCCATTGGAAAGAAACAGATGAAAAGGAGATTTATTACAAGGAATTCTCATATGCAATTGTAGGGTCTGGCTAAGCAAACTGAAAGTCCACAGGGCAGGCTGTCAGGAAAGGAAGTAGAGCAGGCTGGAGATGCGTAGGCACTCGCTGAAACTTGTAGTCTCTGAACTCAAAGAGGACCTGTGTCCCACTATAGAGAGCTTCTTACTAAATAGGAATATCCAGTAGTTTCCATTTTAATTAAGTTAAAGTCAACTAGGTTAGAGAATTTAATAACATCTGAAAAATCCCTTCGCAGCAACACCTAAATTAGTGTTTGTTTGAAATACTGAGAGAAGGTATTTTTTACTATAAAATGGCCACTGCCTCCCTTCTGTTCTCCGACACTTACTAGAAAACATCACTTGTAGTCCACTCTATGTGGAAATGCATTAGAAAAGGATCCTGGAAAATATAGTTCAGCCTAGCTAAATTAATAAAACAGAAATTGTGGAGGGAAAATAGCAGATAGGAGGCAGGACAACTTACAGCTCCCACTCAGACAGACAGAGCAGTGTGTGGAGACCCACGCTGTGAACTTTTGCACCAAGAACTACAACAGGAACATACCAGGAAAGCTGAGAGAATCCACAGACTCTTTGAAGGAGGTGAATTGCTGCTGCAGGCTCCATGAGACTCCCAAGGAACTCCAAAGACAAAGGACATCATCTCTTGAAAGCTCTATAACCCCACCTCCTGCCTCATCCTCCCTATACTATCTCAGCTGACGCACTCTTGAAAGAGTCACCTCCTGGCTGGAGGCCAATCAACCCAAAACCAGTGCACTTAACAAAAATACAACCAAGGACCCTCACAGAGTCCACTTCACTGCCCTGCTACCTCCACTGGGGCACATGCTTGTATACATGGGTGCAAGACCTGAAGACAGATCACATTACTCCTTGCTGACACTCCGCAGTACCAGCCCAGAGCCTGGTAGCTCCACTGGGTGGTTAGATACAGAAGAGAAATAGCAATCACTGTAGTTTAGCTATAAGGAAACCCCATCCCTAGGGGAAAGAGGAGAGCACCACTTCAAGAAAGCACCCCATGGGACAAAAGAATCTGCACAACAGCCCTTGAGTCCCAGGTCCTCACTAATAGTCTACCCAAGTGAGAATAAACCAGAAAGACAATTCTGGTAAGATGACTAAACAAGGTTATTTAACATTCCCAAAAGATCACACCAGCTCACCAGAAATGGATCCAAACCAAGACAAATTCTCTGAACTACCAGAAAAAAACACTCTGAAGGTCAACTATTAAGCCAATCAGGGAAGCACAAAAGAAAGGCTAGGTCCAACTTAAGGAAATAATAATTTAAAAAAAGATACAGCATATGAATGGGAAAATCTCCAGTGAAATAGATAGGATAAACAAAAAATAGTTACAACTTCTGGAAATGAAGGACACACTTGGAGAAATGCAAAATGTACTGGAAAGTCTTGGCAAAATAATTGAACAAGTAGAAGAAGAACTTTAGAGCTCAAAGACAAGGTTTTTGAATTAACCTAATCCAACAAAGGTAAAGACAAAAGAAATAAAAAAATGAGCAAAGCCTCCAAGAAGTTTTGGATTATGTTAAACAACCAACCTAAAAATCATTGGTGTTCCTGAAAAAGAAGGGAAATCTAAAAGCCTCAAAAACATATTTGAGAAAATAATCAAGGAAAACTTCCCCAGCCTAGCTAGACATCTAGACATCCAAATACAAGAAGCTCAAAGAACACCTGGGAAATTTATTGCAAAAAGATCATCACCTATGCACATAGTCATCAGGTTATCTGAAGTTAAGACAAAGGAAAGAATCTTAAGAGCTGTGAGGCAAAAGTATCAGGTAACCTGTAATGGAAAACCTATCATCAGATTAACAGATTTCTCAACAGAAATCCTACAATCTGGAAGGGATTAGGGTCCTATCATTAGCGTCCTTAAACACAAAGGCAAATGATACAATGGCGAATGATATCATTAGCCTCCTTAAACACAAACACGAATGACACAATGGGAGTTCGCGACTAGCCTGGCCAACATGGTGAAACTTCATCACTACTAAAATTAGCAAAAAATTAGCTAGGCCTGGTGATGGGCACCTGTAATCCCAGCTACTCAGGTGGCTGAGGCAGGAGAATCACTTGAATCCAGCAGGTGGAGGTTGCAATGAGCAGAGATGGCACCATTGCACTCCAGCCTGGGCAACAAGAGCAAAACTCCATCTCAGAAAAAAAAAAAAAAAATGATACAAAGGACTTTGGGGACTCAGGGGAAAAGGTGAGACTGGGGTGAGGGATAAAAGACAATACCTTGGGCACAAACAACAGTGCTCGGGTTATGGGTACACCAAAATCTCAGAAATCACCACTAAAGAACTTATTCCCATGACCAAACACCACCTGTTCCCCAAAAACCTATTGAAATAAACTACTACTAATAATAATAGTAAATATTTTTTTAAAAAGTGGTTACTTTGAAAAAACAAATTTCTAATTTTTTAAATTGACAAATCATGAGGCCATCTCATGTGAGCAGACAATGAAAACACAATAGTGACCATGACAAGGACTCAGCCTTCAAAAAGCTCACAGTTTATTAGAAAAGACTCACATGCATTCGAACAATTACGCATAGAGGCAGTATCAAGCTCTGATTGTGATATCTTAAAGATATTGTAGTGGGAAAGAGGAAAGTTTAAATTTATTTACATTATAAATTATATCATGGCTTGATCTCTTTCAACATCATCTCCCAAATCTAGCCAACTTGACCTGCTTGCCTATCCCTAGATGAACCAGGCCATTGTATGCCTCTATGTATTATATACTTATTAGGCTTTGCGGCCCCACCCAAATCTTATCTTGAATTGTAATCCCCCAAATCCCCATAATCCCACATGTCAAAGGAGAAACAAGGTGGAGGTAATTGAATCATGGGGATGGCTTCCCCCATGCTGTTCTCATAATAGTGAGTGAGTACTCACGAGATCTGATGGTTTTATAAGGGACTCTTCCCCCTTCACTTGCTTACTCTTCATCTTCCTGCCATCTTGTGAAGAAGGTACCTTGCTTCCCCTTCACCTTCTGCCATGATTATAAGTTTCCTGAGGCCTCCCCAGCCATGCTGAACTCCGAGTCAACCCTGTTTCCTTTATAAATTACTCAGTCTTGGGCAGTTTTTTATAGCTGTATGAAAATGGACTACTACAGGCTGCCATAGAAAAGACAGGTAGGAATTGGATGTTAAGACAAAAAAAGAGATTAACACATTTGTCCAAACAGAGTAGTAGAAAGGTTTTTATAATCACAGAATCTTATAGTTTGAACAACCATCACAATCATTTCTATCAATCGCTCATTTTACCAACACAGAAATTAAGAAACAGAGAAATGAATCATCTTCTCTATGATTACTTAACTAGCCTAACTAATTATCAGTAAAGAGAAGGGAACAAGAAAGTCAAGTATGCTAGGATGCTATGATAAAGTGTTGTGATATTGTATAACACGTGTAACTCTACATAAAATTTTCCACAACTTACTAAAGCATACCACTTTTATTTTAACTTGATATATCTTTGCTTTGTAAGTTTTGATTGAAGCTGTGCCTCGTACAAGGGAATTTTATCATTCATTGGCATTATTGAAGCATTATTTGGTAGTATTAAAGCATTCAGCCCAATAATTTTTATATAGGTTCTCCTTCATCAGATAAGAGGTATATTGGGGAAAAATCAAATAACTCTGCATCCAAGAAAAAAATAAATATAAAAAATATGTAAACTCAAATTTAATTTCTTTAAAATAATATCTTTAATAAAATTGATATAAAATTTTGATAAAACTAAGACAATGTCTATTGCAAAGAAGCTGAGAGTATGTGTATTTCTATAAGAAAACAAGCTACTATAAAAATTCTTGGCTTGTCTATAATTGGAAGGATTAAATATAAAATGTTTATTTTCAGTATGGCAGCAATAGAATGAAACACACTTTCAACGAAAATAGTACTAAGTTTGCAGAACATAAACATAGTATTCCACTTTGCAAACTAATTTTCTTTTCTTCTCTTTTGTATTGTCTAAGACCATGTATTTATTACCAGAATTTATTACAACCTTTTTGACAAAAGGTATGGTTCCGTTGGTCTTTTGCAAGAGGTCACTCACTACAACATGATTTAACTTTCTGTACTATAAATGAATGAGAAATTGCTATCAAAATAAAAAAATGTAACTATGGAAGCATAAAAAGAAAAATTTACATGAGAGAAAAAAATGTCTAAAGTTGTATGCTCGTGTAATATTGACTCCCAATGTTGAACAAATACCTTGGCAGTTATAAGCCCGATTTGATCCATAATTGCAATAGGATATTTTAATATATCTTCTCAGTAAACGAGACAATAACATTTGTTACTACATAACAAATATACTATATATATAATATACATACGATATAAATATATAGTATATTTGTTATATATAAATAACAGTTATATAGTATATGACTGTTACATAGTATATTTGTTATATATAAATGTTATATATAAATAACAAATATAGTATATAACAGTCATATACTATATAACTGTTTGAAAACAGTTAATAAACAATATTTAGGATACATGTAAAGAAAATTTGAAGAAAAAATAAACATTTTTTTTTCCAAGACAGAGTCTTGCTCTGTCGCCCAGGCTGGAGGTGCAATGGCATGATCTCAGCTCACTGCAACCTCGGCCTCCTGGGTTCAAGCAATTCTCCTGCCTCAGCCTCCCTAGAAGCTGGGATGACAGGTGCCCATCACCATGCCGGGCTAATTTTTGTATTTTTAGTAGAGATGGGGTTTCACCATGTTGGCCAGGCTGGTCTTGAACTCCTGTCCTCAAGTGATCCTCCTGCCTCAGCCTCCCAAAGTGCTGGGATTACAGGCATGAGCCACCACACCCAGCCTACACATTGTTTTTAATCACATGCAATCAAACTGTCGAAAACGAATGGAGGCAGTACATTCAGCTGTAATGGGAAACACTTGTAATCTGTAATCTTCCTGATATGAGGAAGGTGCTTATTCTCACATGAAAGGACAGGATGAGATCAGGAACTACACAATGTGGCAGAGCAAAAAGCTCCCATCTAGTTGGTTTTGATAGAATCATTTTAGCTTAGACTCATTTTCTAATGTCAATTATAATGCTTGTATTATACCATCTCACTCCTGGTTGCCAAAAGCAATAAAATGCTTGTTTAATCTGGCTTAAATGCTGCACTTAGTCTTTTACTTAAAAATCTAGAGGTTGGAGGATCCAGTGATACTCAACTATTCAATAATATTGTGGTCCTGGTGTCACATATCTGAGGTTCTCTTGGCCTTCTCCTTATGGTGATGGCTCCAACCATCAAGTCCTAAGACATTTGAAAGCAATAAGAAAGAGGTGAAGTAGAACATAATTTTTTCACTTGAGTAACTCTTTCAAACAGAAAAGAAAAAATATCTTCCCAGAGGCATCCTCCTGTGGTGGATGGTAAAAATGGCCACAGTTCACTGCAGTTCCTTCTATCAAGAGATGGACCCTATTTCCCCGATCCAAAAATTTGTGCTATCTGTGGTTTGCTTTGGTCAATGTAATGCACATATGTGATGCTGTTAGAGTTTCAAGGCTGGACCTCAAGAAACTTGCACATTTCAACTCCTGGTTTATTAAATATTACAATTGTCATGTGAAAATGCCTGCCCTAGTCTGCTGGATGGTGAGAGACATGGGGCCTAATTATTCATTTTGCCCTGGTTGACAGATTGCCAAACACTAGACATGTGAATGTGGTCATGCTAGATCATACAACCACCCGCCCACCTGCCATGTGAACACAGAATCATGAGCAAGCCCAGGCCATATCAGTGGAGCCAATCTTCACCAGAAGAAACACCCAGTCAAATCATAAAACCATAAGTTAAATAAATGTTTAGTTTTTTAAAGCCACTACATTTAAGAGAGGTCTGTTACGCAGCAAGAGTTACCTAATACATCTCCCATCAGCCTTATCCTTAAATCTATTTGGTCAGAAATCAAGTTGCATCTCCACACCTAGACCAAGCATGGAAAAAAGGAAATTATAATGACTGAAATAGACACACAGTGCTTTATCCCCTGGCACTGGACACACTGCCACCCAAATAAGAGAGAGTTTCCATAGCAAGGAAGTAAAAGGATTGGCTTTGGCTAAGCAAACAACAGTATCATCCACTGACATACTGAGGTCTTCAGAAAAAATGAAAGAGGGAAAATGTTAGAAGTGATTAAGAAGTCAGGAATTTAACTTTGACATAGTATCAGATACGAGCCTAAATATAGAATAAGCAGCTTCAACATGTGCCATAATTTAGATTCTAGAGATATTTAATTATTGGAATTTATCTTAACCTCTAAAAGCAGTTACTCTTTGCTATTTCTAGATGATCAGATTTAATTTGAATTCAATTTCTTCCAAGGGCTGAGATTAAGATGTCTATTTAGATATGAGTAGCCATGGACATATTTTTTGAAGAAAAGATTTAGCTATATACATCCATACACACAAATCATTTTCCTGTAGTACTTCTCTTGAAATTCAATTTCTTATTTAGCATACTTCATTTACTTGAAAATTCAATAGCCTATTTAACATACTTCATTTTTTCCTTTTAATCTTCACAGTGTTCAATAAATATGGTCAATAAATTTTTTATGATAAAATACAGTCATCATGATGATAAAATTTGTTAGCTTTATCCTGACTCTATATGTAGCTTTATTTGTATTATTTAGTTTTCCACATACTACATCCTATCTTTGTAAGAGAAGTCCCTAAAGTATGGGTGGTGCATAATTCCAAGACACAGTATTGAAAATAGCCTAATATAATAATTTAAAGTGACATCTCTTTCCCAAATTTCCCTTTTAAATGTACATACTTTATCTGCTTAATTCTTATTAAGTGCCAGCTGTACTATATATTAGCAAAATTGGTAGAAAGTTCATTTTTAAAGAAAGAATACACTAAATGTAGAAGGCCAAAGATTTGTAGAAGGCCAAAGATTCCTTCACAACTGCAGTTTGAAGGAATAAAAGAAATTACCTTCATTTTATAGCATTAAAAATGAAATGAGACTGCTACTGTATTTTGAGAACAAAATAAATGTACTGTCAAATACTCTTTTATCTTATTTTAAAACATCAGAATTGTGCATATTTTTAGAAAACACAAAATGTTGAGCATCTATGAACATCAGAAGAAAATGATGATATAGATTATGTTGAATGTTAGTTTTAAACTATAGATGGCTGCAAGTTGATTATCCAAATCAAATACAGCATGGCCTTCCTGGATGGACATCAGTTCTCATTAATGCTCATATATTAAGAAATTTTTGGAGTGGAGTCTAGGAGTAAAATTTATTCTGTTATAATTAGTTGCACCTGAAATGCTCTTCAATTAGCTAGTGTAAATTAATCAAGGTCTTATATCCAGGATACTGAAGTATTCAGAGTAATAAATGGCCTCTGCATTTGATTAAATGCAAAATGAAGCTGATGTGTTTAATCAACCACAAGTGCCTTTTTACAGCAAATAAGTACTCTCTAACACATGGGCCATTATAACTTCCCTTCTAGCAAGAGAAAACTTTCAGTGTGTTCATCTGGCTGATAATGAAAATACCATCCCACTGTAAAGGAGTTGCTTCTGCCTTTTGCTGCTTACAGTAGGATCCACACAAGACTATCTAAATTATTATTTTGCTAAATTGAGCAAAATATACAACTGCTTTTTCTATAAAATTACAGATATTTTTACTCTTAGCTTGGTGAAGTGAAGCTTAGTAGAATAACAATCCGTAAGTAGTAAAATGTTATCTAAACCAATAAAGATAATTAAATCAAGCAAATGATCTGAGGTGGTTAAACATCAAAAAAGTACAAAAGCAATGCATAAAGTGATGAATTGTCCTTCTCTTTTTCAGGAGAGGAAGATTAATGTTGTCACAGGCTATAGTGTTCTATTTTTCCACTCCTTCTCACTATTTATTAAAAATCTAGGACTGTTCTGAGACCACGTTCTCTTCACTCTTGATTGTCTCTGTTTGACCTGGGACACAGCTAATAAAACCAACCCAACATCACTCAAGTTCATGTTTGCTCATTGACTCTGGCTGTCAACATTAGAAAATCCTCTTCCTCAAATGTGATTTTCCTCTCTGCAGATTCTTTATTCCTTATAGAGAACATAGAAAATTTCAAAACAGCTCTCCCTCCCCCTCCCACTCCCCCTCCCCCTCTCCTTCTTCGGTCTCCCTCTGTTGCCGAGGCTGGACTGTACTGCCGTGGTCTCGGCTCGCTGCAGCCTCCCTGCCCCGGCTCCCCTGATTCTCCTGCCTCAGCCTGCCGAGTGCCTGGGATTGCGGGCGCACGCCACCACGCCTGACTGGTTTTTGTATTTCTGGAGGAGACAGGGTTTTGCCCTGTTGACCGGGCTGGTCTCCGGCTCCTGACCTCGAGTGGTCTGCCCACCTCAGCCTCCCGGGGTGCTGGGATTATAGAAGGAGTCTCGCTCACTCAATGCTCAGTGTTGCCCAGGCTGGAGTGCAGTGGCATGATCTCGGCTTGCTGCAACCTCCACCTTCCAGCCGCCTGCCTTGGCCTCCCAAAGTACTAAGATTACAGCCTCTGCCTGGCCGCCACCCCATCTGGGAAGTGGGGAGCGTCTCTGCATGGCCGCCCATCATCTGGGATGTGGGGAGCCCCTCTGCCTGGCCGCCCTGTCTGGGAAGTGAGGAGCGCCTCTGCCCGGCAGCCCCGTCTGGGATGTGAGGAGCGTCCATGCCCGGCCGCCCCGTCTGGGAAGTGAGGAGTGCCTCTGCCCGGCCGCCCCATCTGGGAGATGAGGAGCACCTCTGCCTGGCCGCCACTCCGTCTGGGAGGTGAGGAGCATCTCTGCCTGGCTGCCACCCCGTCTGGGAAGCGAGGAGAGCCTCTGCCCATCTGCCTTGTCTGTGAAGTGAGGAGCGCCTCTGCCCGGCTGCCACCCCATCTGAGAAGTGAGGGGCATGTCTGCCTGGCCACCCCATCTGGGAGGCGAGGGGCATCTCTGCCCGGCCGCCCTGTCTGGGAGGTGAGGAGCGCCTCTGCCCGGCTGCCCCGCCTGGGAAGTGAGGAGCGCCTCTGCCCAGCCGTCCTTCGTCTGGGAGGTGGGGAGCACCTCTGCCCGGCTGCCCCATTGGGGAAGTGTGCGCCTCTGCCCGGCCACCCCATCTGGGAGGTGAGGGGCGTCTCTGCCCGGCTGCCCCATCTGGGAGGTGGGGAGCACCTCTGCCCGGCCGCCCATCGTCTGGGAGGTGAGGAGTGCCTCTGCCCGGCCGCCCCATCTGGGATGTGGGGAGCACCTCTGCCTGGCCGCCCTGTCTGGGAGGTGAGGAGCGCCTCTTCCCGGCTGCCCCGTCTGGGAAGTGGGGGGCGCCTCTGCCCGGCTGCCCCATCTGGGAGGTGGGGAGTGCCTCTGCCCGGCCGCCCATCATCTGGGATGTGAGGAGCGCCTCTGCCCAGCCACCACCCCATCTG
The DNA here is from genome assembly GCF_000001405.40 of Homo sapiens. Classification (NCBI taxonomy): domain Eukaryota; kingdom Metazoa; phylum Chordata; class Mammalia; order Primates; family Hominidae; genus Homo; species Homo sapiens. The sequence continues at coordinate 63,164,647 of NC_000006.12, forward strand.
GGAGGTGAGGAGCGCCTCTGCCAGGCCGCCCCATCTGGGAAGTGTATCCAACAGCTCTGAAGAGACAGCGACCATGGAGAACGGGCCATGATGACGATGGTGGTTTTGTCGAAAAGAAAAGGGGGAAATGTGGGGAAAAGAAAGAGAGATCAGATTGTTACTGTGTCTGTGTAGAAAGAAGTAGACATAGGAGACTCCATTTTGTTCTGTACTAAGAAAAATTCTTCTGCCTTGGGATGCCGTTAATCTATAACCTTACCCCCAACCCCCTGCTTTCTGAAACATGTGCTGTGTCAACTCAGGGCTAAATGGATTAAGGACGGTGCAAGATGTGCTTTGTTAAACAGATGCTTGAAGACAGCATGCTCGTTAAGTGTCATCACCACTCCCTAATCACAAGTACCCAGGGACACAAACAGGGCCGAAGGCCGCAGGGACCTCTGCCTAGGAAAACCAGAGACCTTTGTTCTCGTGCTTATCTGCTGACCTTCTCTCCACTATTATCCTATGACCCTGCCACATCCCCCTCTCTGAGAAACTGCAAGAATGATCAATAAATACTAAAAAAAAAAAAAAAAAAAAAAAAAAGAAAAAATAGAAACAGGAAACAAACAAAAAAAAGAAAATTTCAAAACATTCATACTGATAGTTTATTCCTCTAAGACCTATGTAATCTATCCTTTTTAAGTGGTATAAAGGGCCCAAAATTCTCTGTGCAACATCCCTACTGGAGACAGGAACTGAATCCAATCCTATGAAAAAAGCAGAACATTCTTAGAGAACAGCTAAAATGACATATGTGTTATCTCCACTTTCACATTAAGTATTTATTTCCATTTAAAGAAGACTTTTTTAGCTATACTGTATATTTGACTTCAAATTAATACAACTGGGTGGCTTAAAACAATGGAAATGTATTCTTGGGTGGCCAGAAGTCGGAAATGAAGGATCACCAGCATGTTAGCATTCCTCTGGAGCCTCAAAGGAGAACATGTTCTTTGCCTCTTCTAGCTATTGGTGACTGTCATTTTTCCTTTACTATGGCCACGTCACTCCAATCTCTGCCTCCTTCTCTTCTGTCTGTCAAATATTTCTCTGCTTCACTTTTATAAAGATACTTACTGTATATTTAAGGCCTACCTAAGTAACCTAGGATAAAATTCTCCCCTCAAGATTATTAAGTTAATCACATCTCTCATATTAGGAAATATTCACTCTTTTACTACATAAAGTAATATTTTCAGGTTGTGGGGATTAGGACATGAGCATATCTTTTGGAGGCCACCATTGAGCCCACTACATACAATGATATATGCTCATTTGGATATCCAAAAATTTCTTTCAAATAAACTTATTCAATTGTCTCTTTTGAGCCCTTCTTTCTTTGACTTCCTTGTTTCTGGATATTTCTTTCTTCTTTTTATATTTATAAATCCCTGGGTTTTGTTTGTATGTTTGTTTGTTTTTTGAGTCAGAGTCTCACTTTGTCACCCAGGCTGGAGTGCAGTGGCACTATCTTGGCTCACTGCATGCTCCGCCTCCCAGGTTCATGCCATTCTCCTGCCTCAGCCTCCCATGTAGCTGGGACTACAGGCGCCCATCAGCATGCCTGGCTAATTTTTTGTATTTTTAGTAGAGACGGGGTTTCTTCATATTAGCCAGGATGGTCTCGATCTCCTGACTTCATGATCCACCGGCCTTGGCCTCCCAAAGTGCTGAGATTACAGGTGTAAGCCACTGCACCCAGCCCAAATCCCTGGATTTTTGATACTTAGTAACCTGGTTTTCCCAGGCCTACCAGAAACTTTAACATTTAGAGGAAACATCAGTGTGAAAACAAAAACAGAATTGTCAAAGATTCAGTCCTTTGCTCCCTATACCTCATCTCTGCCCTGCCCCATGTTCTTCATTGAGTTACTCAAAAAAAATAATCCAGCCATGAGTTTTAAGTTTTCAGAATACACAATCTATAGCTTTAACTTTGGCCTTTCTTTTTTACTGTCTACTGAATATTTTTGTTTTCAAGACCACCATGTCTTTTAACTGGACATGTTTAAACACAGCATGCATCTAATCCAAGAGCAGTTATGTCCCTCAAGTTGTTTAAAATTTTTATTGGGCAGCTTATCACTCTCCAAATTAACCTAGTTATAACCCTAGAAGGAAATCCTCTGTTTACAATGTTTATTTATCTCCCCTTTTCAAATACTTTTCCTTCTTTCTATTCCAACTTTTACCACCTGAGGGAAAGAAGTTAAAACATATGACTTGTGATCTGCTTATGTTTTTTTCCTGGAGATATACTCCAGGCAGGTATAATTAAAAAGGCCAGTGCCGGGGGTGTTCCAAGATGGCCGAATAGGAACAGCTCCGGTCTGCAGCTCCCAAGGTGATTGACACAGAAGACAGGTGATTTCTGCATTTCCAACTGAGTTACCTGGTTCATCTCACTGGGACTCATTGGACAGTGAGTGCAACCCAGAGGGTTAGCCGAAGCAGGGCAGGGTATCACCTCACCCAGGAAGCACAAGGGGTGGGGGAGATTTCCCTTTCCTAGGCAAGGGAAGCTGTGACAGACTACCTGGAAAAACAGGACACTCCCACCCAAACACTGCATTTTTCCCAAGGTCTTAGCAACTGGCAGACAAGGTGATTCTCTCCCATGCCTGGCTCAGTGGCTCCCACATCCAAAAGGCTTGCTAACTGCTAGCACAGCAGACTGAGATTGATCTGTGAGACTGCAGCCTGGCTGGGGGAGGGGCTTCCACCATTGCTGAGGCTTGAGTAGGTAAACAAAGCAGCTGGGAACCTCGAACTGGCCAGAGCCCACCACAGCTCAACAAGGCCTACTGCCTCTGGACTCCATCTCTGTGGGCAGGGCATAGCTGAACAAAAGGCAGCAGATAACTTCTGCAGACTTAAACGTCCCTGTCTGACAGCTCTGAAGAGATCAGTGGTTCTCCTAGCATGGCATTTGAGCTCTGAGAACAGACACACTGCCTCCTCAAGTGGGTCCCTGATACCCGTGTAGCCTAACTTGGAGACACCTCCCAGTAGGGGCCAACAGACACCTCATATAGGTGGGTGCCCCTCTGAGATGAAGCTTCCAGAGGAAAGGTCAGGCAGCAATATTTGCTGTTCTGCAGCCTCCACTGGTTATACCCAGGCAAACAGGGTCTGGAGTGGAACTCCAGCAAACTCCAACAGACCTGCAGCTGAGGGACCTGACTGTTAGAAGGAAAACTAAGAAACAGAAAGGAATAGCATCAACATCAACAAAAAGGTAATCTACACCAAAACCCCACCTGTAGGTCACCAACATCAAAGACCAAAGGTAGATAAAAACAAAAAGATGGGGAGAAACCAGAGCAGAAAAGATGAGAATTCTAAAAATTGGAGCGCATTTTCTCCTCCAAAAGATTGAAGCTCCTTGCCCCCAGTGGAACAAAGCTGGAATGAGAATGACTTTGATGAGTCGACAGAAGTAGGCTTCAGAAGGTTGGTAATAACAAACTTCTCTGAGCTAAAGGAGGACATTCAAACCCAATGCAAGGAAGCTAAAACCCTTGAAAAAAATATTAGATGAATGGCTAACTAGAATCAACAGTGTAGAGAAGACCTTAAATGACCTGATGGAGCTGAAAACCATGACACGAGAACTTTGTGACACATGCACAAGCTTCAATAGCCGATTTGATAAAGTGGAAGAAAGGGTATCAGTGATTGAAGATCAAATTAATGAAATAAAGTGAGAAGACAAGGTTAGAGAAAAAAGAGTAGAAAGAGATGAAAAAAGCCTCCAAGAAATATGGGACTATGTGAAAAGACCAAATCTACATTTGATTGGTGTACCTGAAAGTGATGGGGAGAATGGAACCAAGCTGGAAAACACTCTTCAAGATATTATCCAGGAGAACTTCCTCAACATAGCAAGGCAGGCCGACATTCAAATTCAGGAAATACAGAGAACACCACAAAGATACTCCTCGAGAAGAGCAACCCCAAGACGCATAATTATCAGATTCACCAAAGTTGAAATGAAAGAAAAAGTGTTAAGGGCAACAAGAGAGAAAAGTCAAGTTACCCACAAAGGGAAGCCCATCAGACTAACAGCACATCTCTCAGCAGAAACCCTACAAGCCAGAAGAGAGTGGGGGCTGATATTCAACATTCTTAAAGAAAAGAATTTTCAACCCATAATCTCATATCCAGCCAAACTAAGCTTCGTAAGTGAAAGAGAAATAAAATCCTTTACAGACAAGCAAATGCTGAGAGGTTTTGTCACTACCAGGCCTGCCTTACAAGAGGTCCTGAAGGAAGCCCTAAACATGGAAAGAAATAACTGGTATCAGCCACTGGAAAAACAGGCCAAATTGTAAAGACCATTGATGCTATGAAGAGACTGCATCAATTAACTGGCAAAATAACCAGCAAACATCATAATGACAGGATCAAATTCACACACAGCAATATTAACCTTAAATGTAGATGGGCTAAATGCCCCAATTAAAAGACACAACTGGCAAATTGGATAAAGAGTCAAGACTCATCACTGTGCTGTATTGAGGAGACTCATTTCATGTGCAAAGATGCACAAAGGCTCAAAATAAAGGGATAGAGGAAGATCTACTAAGCAAATGGAAAGCAAAAAAAAAGCAGGGGTTGTAATTCTACTCTCTGATAAAATAGACTTCAAACCAACAAAGATCGAAACAGACAAAGAAGGCCACTACATAATGGTAAAGGGATCAACTCAACAAAAAGAGTTAACCATACTAAATATATATGCACCCAATACAGGAGCACCCAGAGTCATAAAGCAAGTCCTTAGAGAACTACAAAGAGACTTAGACGCCCACACAATAAAAATGGAGATTTAACACCCTACTGTCACTATTTGACAGATCAATGAGACAGAAGGTTAACAAGGATGTCCAGAACCTGAACTCAGCTCTGCAACAAGCAGACCTAATAGACATCTAAAGAACTCTCCACCCCAAATCAACAGAATATACATTCTTCTCAGCACCACATCGCACTGAAAATTGACCACATAGTTGGAAGTAAAGCACTCCTCAGCAAATGTAAAAGAACAGAAATCACAACAAACCATCTCTCAGACCATAGTGCAATCAAATTAGAACTCAGGATTAAGAAACTCACTCAAAACTGCACAACTACCTGGAAACTGAACAACTTGCTCTGGAATGACTACTGGGTAAATAACAAAATGAAGGCAGAAATAAAGATGTTCTTTGAAACCAATGAGAACAAAGACACAACATATCAGAATCTCTGGGACACATTTAAAGCAGTGTATAGAGGGAAATTTATAGCACTAAATGCCCACAAGAGAAAGCAGGAAAGATCTAAAATCAATACCTAACATCATAATTAAAAGAACTAAAGAAGCAAGGGCAAACACATTCAAATGCTAGCAGAAGGCAAGAAATAATTAAGATCAGATCAGAACTGAAAGAGATAGAGTCACAAAAAAAACCTTCAAAAAATCAATGAATCTAGGTGCTGGTTTTTTTAAAAGATCAACAAATTTGATAGACAGCTAGCAAGACTAATAAAGAAGAAAAGAGAGAAGAATCAAATAGACGCAATAAAAAATGATAAAGGGGATATCACCACTGATCCCACAGAAATACAAACTACCGTCAGAGAATACTATAAACCCCTCTATGTAAATAAACTAGAAAATCTAGAAGAAATGGATAAATTCCTGGACACATACACCCTCTTGAGACTAAACCAGGAAGAAGTTGAATCTCTGAATAGACCAATAACAGGCTCTGAAATTGAGGCAATAATTAACAGCCTAACAACCAAATAAAGTCCAGGACCAGATGGATTAACAGCTAAATTCTATCAGAGGTACAAAGAGGAGCTCATACCATCCCTTCTAAAACTATTCCAATCAATAGAAAAAGAGTGAATTCTCCCTAACTCATTTTATGAAGCCAACATCATCCTGATACCAAAGCCTGGCAGAGACACAACAAAAAAAGAGAATTTTAGACCAATATCCATGATGGACATCGAGGCGAAAAACCTCAATAAAATTCTGGCAAACTGAATCCAGCAGCATATCAAAAAGCTTATCCACCACAATCAAGTCAGCTCCATCCCTGGGATGCAATGCTGGTTCAACATATGCAAATCAATAAACGTAATCCATCACATAAACAGAACCAACAACAAAAACCACATGATTATCTCAATAGATGCAGAAAAGATCTTTGACAAAACTCAACAGCCATTTATGCTAAAAATTCTCAATAAACTAGGTACTGATAGAATGTATCTCAAAATAATAAGAGCTATTTATGACAAACCCACAGCCAATATCATACTGAATGGGTAAAAACTGGAAGCATTCACTTTGAAAACCAGCACAAGATGAGGATGCCCTCTCTCACCACTCCTATTCAACATAGTTTTGGAAGTTCTGGCTAGGGCAATCAATATAGAGAAAGAAATAAAGGGTATTCAATTAGGAAAAGAGGAAGTCAAATTGTCCCTGTTTGCAGATGACATGATTGTATATTTAGAAAACCCCATTATCTCAGCCCAAAATCTCCTTAAGCTGATAAGCAACTTCAGCAAAGTGTCAGGATACAAAATCAATGTGCAAAAATCACAAGCATTCTTATACACCAATAACAGACAAACAGAGAGCCAAATCATGAGTTAACTCCCATTCACAATTGCTTCAAAGAGAATAAAATACCTAGGAATCCAACTTACAAGGGATGTGAAGGGCCTCTTCAAGGAGAACTACAAACCACTGCTCAACAAAATCAAAGAGGACACAAACAAATGGAAGACCATTCCATGCTCATGGATAGGAAGAATCAATATCATGAAAATGGCCATAATGCTCAAAGTAATTTATAGATTTGATGCCATCCCCATCAAGCTACCAATGACTTTCTTCACAGAATTGAAAAAAAAAAATGACTTTAAAGTTCATATGGAACCAAAAAAGAGCCCACATTGCCAAGACAATCCTAATCCAAAAGAACAAAACTGGAGGCATCACACTACCTGACTTCAAACTATACTACAAGGCTACAGTAACCAAAACAGCATGGTACTGGTACCAACACAGATATATAGACCAATGGAACAGAACAGAGGCCTCAGAAATAACATCACACATCTACAAACATCTGATCTTTGACAAACCTGACAAAAACAAGAAATGGAGAAAGACTGTCTATTTAATAAATGGTGCTGCGAAAACTGGCTAGCCATATGTAGAAAGCTGAAACTGGATCCCTTCTTTACACTTTATATAAAAATTAATTCAAGATGGATTAAAGACTTAAATTTTAGACCTAAAACCACAAAAGCCATAGAAGAAAACCCAGGCAATACCACTCAGGACATAGGCATGGGCAACGAATTCATGACTAAAACACCAAAAGCAATGGCAACAAAAGCCAAAATAGACAAATGGAATCTAATTAAACCAAAGAGCTTCTGCATGGCAAAAGAAACTACCATCAGTGTGAACAGGCAACCTACAGAATGGAAGACAATATTTGCAACCTACCCATCTGACAAAGGCCTAATATCCACAATCCACAAAGGACTCAAACAAATTTACAAGAAAAAAACAACAATCCCATCAAAAAGTGGGCAAAGGATATAAACAGACACTTCTCAAAAGAAGATATCTATGCAGCCAACAGACACATTAAAAAATGTTCATCATCACTGGTCATCAGAGAAATGCAAATCAAAACCACAATGAGATACCATCTCATGCCAGTTAGAATAGCAATCATTAAAAAGTCAGGAAACAGCAGATGCTGGAGATGATGTGGAGAAATAGGAATGCTTTTACACTGTTGGTGGGAGTGTAAATTAGTTCAACCACTGTGGAAGACAGTGTGGAGATTCCTCAAGGATCTAGAACTAGAATTACCATTTGATCCAGTAATCTCATTATTGGGTATATACCCAAAGCATTATAAATCATGCTACTATAAAGACACATGCACATGTATTTTTACTGTGGCACTATTCACAATAGCAAAGACTTGGACCAAACCCAAATGTCCATCAATGATAGACTGGATTAAGAAAATGTGGCACATATATACCATGGAATACTATGCAACCATCAAAAGGATGTGTTCATGTCCTTTGCAGGGACATGGATGAAGCTGGAAACCATCATTCTTAGGAAACTGTCACAAGGACAGAAAACCAAACACTGCATGTTCTGACTCATAGGTGGGAATTGAACAATGAGATCACTTGGACACAGAGCAGGGAACATCACACACCAGGGCCTGTCAGGCGGTGGAGGACTGGGGGAGGGTTAGCATTAGGAGAAATACCTAATGTAAATGATGAGTTGATGGGTGCAGCAAACAAATATGGCACATGTATACATATGTATCAAACCTGCACGTTGTGAACATGTACCCTAGAACTTAAAGTATAATAATAAAATAAAATAAAATAAAATAAAATAAAATAAAAAAGATTTGGGAGCTACATCATCCAAGCACTGTAGAGAATGAGGGAAAAAAAAGGCCAGTGCCCCCTGTTCAATCTCCTTCATAATTGTACTTCTGGATAAGGAGACTAACAATATTTGCTAGGAAGAAGAAGCTTTATCTTTGAAATGCTTTTGGCAGAATGTTCTTGGCAAAGCATTATCTATAGCAAGTGGAACCGCAGATCTATGAATATGGCTTTCTGGAGATATCAGGTAGACAACATAACTCTCTGGAGTATAAAACGGAGGTGTTTTGTAATTAAATGCTGCTAGCATGTGAGATGATCATGTGCCCCTCACATAAAGACCTCACCTATTCCAGGACAGAGGGAAGGACATGAATAGTTCCCCTTGACATCCCAGATGGCTCCCTCTTTCCTCTGGGCTCTTTGATTGCTTGTATCTTTGATATTATTTTTTAAGCTTGGTACTGTGTAAAATTTATGATTCATGGGGTTCTGATTTGACAATCGGATTCTGTGTGTTCACTCATCACCCATTATTTACTTTTTCTAATAGTGTTTCCTATGGCTTCTCATCCTCTATGAAATATTACAGATAAATCATTCTCAATTGTCATTTTTCAATTATGTCTCTTTCTTGCTCAGATATCACTGGTGGATGCCCATGGTCTAAACGTTAATTCCAAAGTCTTTATCCTAAAAAATGAAAGGCAGTTCTATAATAATCAATATTTGTGTTGTGCAAATAGTGGGCTACTCTGGTCTCATCTAGGTGTATTTGAGCACTTAGAAAATTAGAAAAAGCCCATCCTGAATACACTGAATATTTAAATGTGAAAGGCAAAAATAAAAACTTACAGAAGTATGGAAATAAAAAACTTAAAAAAAACTATAGTTAAAAATGCTATCTCCATGTGTGTTTTTTTAAAAAAAAGATTAATTTGAGAATAAAAAAAGATAATATAGATGTTAGCTTAAGATTTAATCACTCCCTTTACTGAGGAAATATGTACTCCAGGGAGAGCAGGATTGATTAAACAAAAGCACTACTAATAAAAAAAATACTGAAAAATAAGGAATTCTATTAATTATAAGGGATGATACACTTCTTTATCATAAGGTATGATAAAGAGCATAAAAAGACAAGCCACCAGCTGAGAAAATATATTTTCAACACATAAAAACATTCCATAAACAGAATGGACTAATAAATGTGTTAGGTTGGTGCAAAAGTAATTGCGGTTTTTGCCATTACTTTTAATATAAAAACTACTGACTATTAATATAGAAACATAAATTAAAATCAGAGATATCATTTTATAACTACTGGATTGGCAAAAGTTTTAAATTTTGACATTTTCAGGATTTGGAGAAAATACACAGGGAAACAATTCTTAAACATTTCTAGTGGGAGCAATAATTGTCATAACAATTTTGGAAAATAATTTGGCATTATATAAGAAAATAGAATATAGGCATTGCTACTGCTCAGCAGTTCCCCTCCTAGTGATATGTTCTAAGGAAGAGCTTACTCTTACACCGGAGGTGGGAGCCAAAACATTCACTGAAACAAATAAAAGATAAAAAAAGAGAAATAACCCAATGTACATTTGTGTTAAAAATACATGCATAAAATGTGGTATATTGATTTATAAAATCTACTGTAGAAAATATCTCAACAGAGAATCTCAAAAACATAATGTTGAGGGTAAGAAAGTCAAGACTCTGAAGAATATATAATGTGATTTCATTAAGTGAAGTTCAAAATCAGTTTTAAAATCTAACTGTATTCTCTCTACTACATTCATAGATAGTGGAATTAAGGGGAAATCAAGGAAATAGCAAACAAAATGTATCATATCAGTTACCTCTAGGTGTAGGGAATCTTGGGGAAGGGAATTGGTATGGGAACATAGGTTTCAAAGGAATGGTAAAGTTTCATTTATTAAACTGGGTAAGAAGTATGCAGGGTTCATTTTATTATTATTATTGATATTCTGCATAAGTAATAGAAATACCATTTTGTATATTTAATTTCCAATACAACAAATTGCAAACAAATTTTAGAGTCCTGTGTGGTGACCCAACAACATAAAATGTATTAAAATAATTAACAATCACACATGAAAATTTGTACAATGTCAACATATTTTACAAAGATTAATCTGTGGTGGGTTCTTCCTCTAGTCATCCCTTAGAATTCAAGGCTAAAAGTGGGTGTTTCCAGGGTTCTGCACTTGGCACTTCTCATTCTTCATGTTCTTCACTTGCATTCTCCTCCACTCTCATGGCTTTAACCACTACCGCTGATGGTCCCCAAAAGATGTTTTTCCTCTATGTTTCAGACACATTTATTCAAATGGATCTAAGACAACTTCTCTTGATGGTTAATGAACATCTCAAAGGCAATATGTATAAATGTATTTAACGTCCTCTACTCTGGACATATTCTCATCTACTGTTCCCTTTCACAGTTCCTGTTCTCTTTCATTGGACAACACAGTCAGAAACTTGAAAGTCATCTAAGATTCCTCATCCACCCTCCCCTGAACAATCAGTCACTAAAATTACTAATTTTACTTTCTTGCTGTTTGTTAAATTTGTCCTCTCTCCTCCATTCACTGTACAAGGACATGTTAGGGCCTCATCTATGTCAGTGGGTGTATGACTGTAATTGTGTGTGTGTGTGTGTGTGTGTGTGTGTATATATATATATGCACACACAAACATACATATATATATATAGAGAGAGAGAGAGAAAGAGAGCACACTTTACAACCCCCTTCTCTTTAGTCTTACCCATCTAAAATCCATCTGTCACACTGCTTTGAATATGGTCTCTCCAAAAGCATATTGCTTTCCTCCTTAAAACCTTCATTGGCTTCAGTATTTAGACAATAAAAACCATAATATGCATTTCCTTTCCTAATCCTGCCTTTCCTGTTGCTATAAATTTATTTGCCATGGCTTAGCTTCTGTTTATATTCTAATTATAGTGCGTCCATGAGCCTTTGTTTTCTTATGCCTGGAATACACTTCTTCGTACTTTACCTACTAATAGCTACTCACCCTTGAGGCTTATTGTCTCTGGAAACTTAGGGCTACCAATCCTTTCCACTGCTATATACCTCATATTTCTATTAGAAAACTTCCCGTATTTTACATGACATGTTTACATCTCTGTCTTCTCCTCTACGCTGCAATGTCTTCAAATACACAGACTGTAATTCATCTTTGCATATCTCCGTACATAGCTTAGGTTGATTCATAGTATGTGCTTCACAACATTAATTTAAAAGTACTATGTAGATGTTAAACAATTAGACTTAGTTACGTGAGAAACAGCCTCACTTTGTTTCCATAGCCGCTTTGAGGCTGTAACTTAGAATTCATGTTTTGAATTATCTTTGTATCCTGGTCTACTGAGAGGGAGCTGTTCTTGTATTCCAAAACATGTGTTTTAACTTTTTTGATTGGAGGATTAACTTCTTAAATGGGATGAGGGAGGCAGGGAACTATTTTGGAAAACAGAAGCCCCTATTGACCAAGGTTAAAGATACCATGACATTTCTTTTGTATAACCATTAACTTCTCCCTGGTTGCAAAATTTCAGTATATTAAAATTTAATTACTTCATGATGACAATTGAGAAATAGCTCACCTTAAATTTTATGTTGTGTCTTTAACATTGTAGAAATTTAGTAAAACTGGAACTAGAAGCTGTGGTGTACTTGAACGCTTGAATAGGTGAAGATTATGAGTTTTGGAATTAAATAAAATGAGGTTCAAATCTTTTTTTACAATTTGAACTTTTATTTTAGATTTGGGGGTGCATGTGCAGGTTTGTTACCTGGGTATACTGCATGATGCTCAGGCTTGAGATCTTGTCACCCAGGTCGTGAGCATAGTACCCAACAGTTAGTGTTTTAATCCTTGCCTCCCTCCCTCTATATCCCATTTAGTAGTCCCCAGTGTCTATTGTTGGCATTTTTATGTCCATGAATATCCAATGTTTAGCTCCCACTTATAAGTGAGAACATGCGATATTTGGTTTTCTGTACCTGCATTAATTCACTTAGGATAATGGCCTCCAGCTGCATCCATGTTGTTGCAAAGGACATGATTTTATTCCTTTTATGGCTGCATAGTATTTCAAGGTGTGTATGTACCACATTTTCTATACCCATCCACCACTGATGAGCACTGAAGTTGATTCCTTGTCTTTGCTACGGTGAATAGCCCTGCAATGAACATATGAGGGCATGAGTCTTTCGGGTAGAGAAGTTCAAATCTTGATTATTACTAATTATATGACTTTGGGTAAGTTATTTGCTTCCAGAATCATTTTTCCCATCTGCTAAGTGAAGGACTTGATACGTAACTTTAAATGTTGTACCAGATAGTGTTATAGGCAAATTTTATCAATCATTCAATAATAGGTCAATCCAACCTTACACCAACTTTTTCATATAATAAAAAAAGAAGGGACATTTCCTGTGTCTGCAGGTCCCCAAGACCACACCCAGGTTTGGTTATTCACTAGGAAAATTCACAGGACTCAGCATAAAGTCATATTTCTGGCTGTGATTTATTTTTGTGAATGGATTAAAAAAATCCAAAAAAGGAAAAGGTGCATAGAATGACATCTAGAGAAAAACCAGGTGTTAATTTCCAAGAGTCCTTTGCCAGAGGAGTCACATAGGACGTGATTAACTTTTTTTTTTTTTTAGATGGAGTCTCACTCTTAAAAGTGCAGTGTTCAGTGGCATTGGCAAGATCTTTGTTCACTGCAACCTCCGCTTCCCGAGCTCAAGTGATCCTTTCACTTCAGCCTCTTGATTAGTAGCTGGGATTACAGGTGTGTGTTACCACACCCAGCTAATTTTTGTATTTTTAGTAGAGATGGTGTTTCACCATGTTGACCAGGCTGGCCTTGAACTCCCCACCTCAGGTAATCCTCCCACCTCGGCCTCCCAAAGTGCTGGGATTACAGGCATGAGCCACCCTCCCCAGCTGGACATGCTTAATTCTTTTGGCAACTGAAAGTTGTGACAAAAATTGTGAAATTTTGTCTACCAAAAAAGGCCTTTAGAGACTCAATGCCCAAAGTTTTGTTGGGGGCTAATTGTAGACACCATCTGCCTAGCACATACCAAAATTCTAGACTCTCAGAAGGAAAGCAAGTGTTCAGAATATGCCATATTGTTTAGACACAGTGAGCTGCACTTATTCATCTAGGCAAAGTTATTATCAGCATAAGGGACAGTTTACCATTCAAGTGCCCAGATGCCAGCCAAGGGCCAACCCAGCAAGCAGATCTTTCTAAGGAGAACAACCTGAGTCTCACTATCTTAACTCTTTTCTGAAAATTTGCCAAATTATTTTGTGAAACTAATATTATCACAGTGATTAATGGCACAACTATAGTACCAAAGACCAAGTTTAAACCCCAGCTTTGTTACCCTGTCCTCTGTGTACCCTAATTTTCCTATAAGTAAAATGGAGATATTAACAGAGTATTTGTCTCATATAGTTGTTGTGAGGGCTTCTTGAGCTATTACATATGCGGTATTTAGAAGTGTCCTTGGCAAATAAAAAGTAATACCAGAAGCACCAGTGACAGTACTAGTGGTGTAACATTGATTCCAACATCAAACAAGGACTGAATTACAGGTCAATTTTTGATCATAAACTTAGATGTGAAATGTTTCTACAAAATATTAGAAAACTAAAGTTAGCAATGCATAAAAAGCATAAAATATCTTCACAAATCAGGTTTACTCAAGAAATGCATAATGACCCCCCACATAGAAAGTGTATTACTGTATCCCAATAGGTAAAAAAGAATTTGATAAAATTTAACATCCACTTATGATTTTAAAGGCTGTAAGCTAGTGAGAAATAGAAGACATTTCTTAACCTAAAAGTCACCTACAAAAAAATGCAGAAGATAGTAAAGTATTAAAAAAATTAAAAGGATTTTTAAAAATAAGAAACACAGCATATTTTCTCTTTATTAGAACTTTTGTTTAATGTTGTACTGGAGTTTTCAGGTAGCACAATAAAAGAGAGAAAAATAAAAAATGTAAGAAATAGAAATGGAGAAACCAAACTGTTACTGTTATTCACATTGATGAAATAATCTAAGAATTATTAGAACTGGTGAGAAGTTAACAAAGTTTCAACATGTAAAATCAAATAAGTTCATAGATCAATTGTTTTCTATATGTCAGGAAAATAAAGATGAGAAATTAAAAAAACATAAGATACACAGAAATAAATATAACCAAAAATCTTCTTTATGTAGGAAATTATAAGACTTTTGAAAGACATCAAAGAAAACTGAAATACCTGAAGAGACATAGAGATTCATGACTCATGACATAGAATATTGTAAAAAACAGAATGCATGTAATATCTATCAAAAATCCTAAGAGAGCATTTCATGAAACTTATGAAGTTGATTTTAAAATTTTATGGAAGAGACAAGATACTGATGAAGAAAAAGAAGAAAGTGATAGGACTTGGTATATCAAAACTAACTATAAACTATTATAATTAAAATGGTGTGGTATTATTCTAAGAAACAGGCAAATTGACTGATGTAATTGAATACTGAGTACTAAAACAGTCTCTTACATACAGAGGAATTTACTATTTGATAGAACCAATAGTACAGATCAGGTGAAGAAAAGTGATTTTCAATGTATTAGTTATTTTTATCAGAAGAAAATATAACTGGATACCCCTACTCACACCATGCACAAAAGTGAAATGCATTTAAGAACTTAAATATGAATGGTAAAACCATAAAATATTTGTTAAAATATACAGGCAATATCTTTATAAACTTGAAATTGTACTTTTCAGAAATATAAAGGAATGAATGTATAGATACGTGGTAGAATAAACTATAAAGGAAGGAACAAAAAGCACAATTTTCAGAATAGTGATTTATCTGAGGGAGAAGGAGGATGAGATTAGGAATATCAGAGACATCAAAGATATTTCAAGAATGATGATCTCTGGTGAGTGATGGTGGTCCCCTGTAATCCCAACACTTTGGAAGCCAAGGTGGAAGGATCACTTGAGGCCCAGAGTTCAAGACATGTTCTGGCAACATAGTGAGACCCCCATCTCTACACCAAAATAAAAATTTAAAAATTATCTGGGCATGATGGTGAGCACCTGTAGTCCCAGTTACTCAGGAGGCTGAGGTGGGAGGACTGCTTGAGCCCAGGAGTTCAAGGTTATAGTGAACTATGTCATGCCACTACACTCTAGCCTGGGCAACACAGCAAGACCCTGTCCAAAGGAAGGGAAGGGAGGTGAGGGGAGTGGAGGGGGAAAGGGAGGGGAAGGAGAGAGAGACAGAAAAAAGAAAAGAGAAAGAAAAGAAAAGAAGAAAAAAGAAAAAGGTGTACTTTCCTGAATGTATGTTCTTGTCAACTTTGTCAAAGATCATTTGGATATGAATATGCAGCTTTATTTCTCAGTTCTCTATTTTATCCCATTGACCTATATGTTTATTTTTGTACCAGTATCATGCTGTTTTGATTACTATAGCCTTGTAATGTAATTTGAAGTCAGGTAATGTGATGCCTCCAGCTTTGTTCTTTTTGCTTAGGATTGCTTTAATGATTCACACTCCTTTTTAGTTCCATATGAATTTTAGGATTACTTTTATTTAAAAGTAGTGGCAAAAATCACAATTACTTTTGTACCAACCTAATATTAACATTTCTCTGACATGTTTTTTTTAAATGCTGTGCCAAAGAACAAGTATAGAGATAAAGTAACATAAAACCCAATTTTTGTTTCTGAAAATTTATTTTAACCAACACATAAAAGATGAAAAAAATGGGCTTTCTAATTTTCAATTTACACAGAGTTAACTTTCATCCACATTACAACAATCAGCAGGGCAGCATGTATTACTTTCCTGAAAGTAAATAAATTATTATGTGAAAATTCTGAACTTTTTCAAAAAATTTTCCACAGAATTTAAAACTCAGCCTGCTTCAATTTCAAGTGTTCCTGCTATACACTTCAGATGAGCTCTTTAGTGTCTACAGAGTTAGTGCTTGAAAATGTCCAACCCAAGAACAAAAATTAAAACACCTTCAAAGAGATTGGCTTTATAAATGCTTTCAGTGAGAAAATAGAAATTTAATCAAAACAGCCTTTATCTAATAAGCATCTTCTGTTTCATTTACTGTGGGTAATCAGGGTGAGTGTGACTTTTCTGACAGCTGGGTTCTCCATCGTAGGTTTTGTAGTTCAGTTCTTCTGTTACTGTGACCCCATTAGAATTCACTTCATTGAAAATATATAATTAATACTTAACACAGCTTTTCTAGACAATCTACAAGTCTATAAACTGTCTACATCCTCAAACATGGGTGAAAATGGTCTACCATATTGTACTGAGGGACTCTGGTGAAACTGAAACCTTTTCTTCAATCATGTGAGATACAATTAAATTGCAATCTGTATCAGATTATTGCCATCCACAGAGCATAGCACTTTGAATACTCTAAGATGTAAGATCTACAAGGGTGTTCCACAAATGTTAAGTTAAATATAGAATTTAATCGAATTCCTAATATTCATAAGGAATTCTCAAACAGAAAACAATATTCTAGACCGTTAATGTGACCAGCTGAGAATTTTCTAAAATAAGGTGCAAGTACAACATATCCCAGTGCTTCTTTATTCACCAGTAAACTACAAGGTTATAGATTGGTCAATCTGATAAATCCACGGATGGTTTTGTGGTTCTATGATCAGTGTGCAAGGATTTTTATAGCTCAGTAAAACACAAGACAGTTTTACAGCCCAAGACTAAACTTGTAATAAAGGGAAAAAGAAAAGAAAAGCATACACATATTAAATAAAAGCATTCAAATGTCACAGAAAAATGTGTTTACATATTAAAATCACACACATCAAATATCCAAACCACTGCAAAATACAGAAAGTGAGAATTTTTTCTAAAGTGTGAAACACACATAGCTGATATTCATTATAATGACTTTAAAGGTTTGCTTGATCCTAAATGCCTAGAGGAGATAAAACATAAGTTAAATCCTGTATAATATGATTATAATGGTTTTTGCTTGTTTCTTTTTCTGTTTTGTTTTGTTTTTATCTTTGAGACGGAGTTTCACTTTTGTTGCCCAGGCTGGAGTGCAATGGTGCGATCTCTGCTCACTGCCTCCCAGGTTCAAGCGATTCTCCTGCCTCAGCCTCCCAAGTAGCTGGGATAACAGGCATGTGCCACCACGCCTGGCTGATTTTATATTTTTAGTAAAGAAGGGGTTTTGCCATGTCGGCCAGGGTGATCTCGAACTCATGACCTCAGGTGATCCACCTGCCTTGGCCTCCCAAAGTGCTGGGATTACAGACGTGAGCTACCGCACCTGGCCTATAATGCTAATTGTATTTTATTATATGCTAATTTCTTCAAAACTTAAAATTATATCTTATAATATTTAATAGGAAAATTCAGTTAAACATTATATCTTATTTTTAACATTTAGGAGTAATAAGAGTTACTTCATTAAGAAATTTGACAGAGGTAGTCTAAAGATGCCTTTCCAAAGGAAAAAGAAGAAGAAAAAGGAGAAGGAAAAGGAGGTGGAAGAGCAGGAGGAGGAGAAGCCATGGCAAGGACAACCTGCTACTTCATGTTTTTTTCAAAAGGCCCATGGTCTTTTAAGGTGACAATTTTAGCCTCTATGTCCACTAATTTTCAAATACTTGTGCAAATTTGAAAATTATATGGAAGTGCTCATTTATTTTGGGCATGTTTGCTTTTTTCATCAATTTGCTATATGAAATGCAAGACCAGGTAAAATATTATGTGTTTATATTTGTATTTTTATGTTTTCAAAGAATAATTATCTGGAAGATGACACTTTTATATACCATTATTTTAATTAGTATTTTTTTAAAAACAAAACAAGTTTAAGAATTTGTACACCAGCAATCCAGCTATTCAAGTAAAAAAGCAGCTTCACGTTGAAATTTGTTTCAGTATCACTTAAGATAAACTTGAAATGAGATAGCATTCTGTTTGCATATGTTATTTGAATTATGAAATTTTTTATCTTAACTATCTAATAAAAGTAAGTGATTTTGATCAGAGAATGCAACCAGCAAAGCTATCATATTAAATGATAGAAGTTCCCAGAATTCCTTTGAATAAATGTCCATTATTCTTTGGATTATTAATAACTCTATACTACTGAAAAATAATGTCCCAGAATGCTTTGTGTTCTCTCTAGAGATAAACTGATTACTCAGAACACTGAAGACATCTATTTTACTGAATAGAAATGAATCACCTAAAGGAACCAAGAACTCACTGCTTGGAAGAAGTATTGTTCATACATATTTATTCCTGTTAGAAAATTCAACATCCTTGCCTTATAAAATCACCATCATGTTAGACCAAATCAGAGGGGACCGCTTTTTTATGATACTGTTTTTGCTTTCTTATTTATACTTTATGTAATTCACACTTTTACTTTAAATTCCACTTCAGAAGATATTATAAATTAGGTTGTCAAAAACAGTTCAAATCAGAAAATTTTGATATTATATTTACAATGAAGCTGATACACTTAAATTTGTCCTACAAAGATCCATTAGACAAAACATATACCATACGGCACACCACAGGAGTTGTATCCTAAATCTTCCTTCTATTTTTCCTCACTGAATATAATATTAACATTCTCTTGAGCCCCTTAAGCTTGAATCACTTTGTAATTGGATGAGGGGGGCAGAATTTGATATTTCTAAAAATAGCTTGACACATATATATTTTGAAAAAAGGTAATTTTCAACAAAATGAGTTAAATAAAATAACTTTGGAATTTTCAGGCTCTCATCCTGGATTGAGTTTAATTTCATAATCTAAACTTCTAAACACTTGTCAGTGTCTCTCAACTGGCTGCATCCTCTCTGGAATAAAAGGGAACAATGCCAATTTTAACTCATATTTTGGTAACAAATATCTTCCAATTTTGTAGTTGATTGGTTCACAAAACAAAACAATGATCTCACAAGAAGGCTGTGTTTGTTTGTTTGTTTGTTTGTTTTTTGTTACAGAGTCTCTCTCTGTTGCCCAGACTGGAGTGCAGGGGCTTGATCTTGGCTCCTTGCAAACTTCACCTCAAATGATCTGCCCACCTCAGCCTCCCAAAGTGTGAGGATTACAGGTATGAGCCACCGTGCCTGGCCACAATAAAGACTTTGTTTCATTTCTGTTTCATATTTCTAGATTATAAACATATTTACATAAATTTCTATAGAAGAGCATGGAGACTGTGATTCTTTTATTCTCTATTTTTTTCAAGTTATATACTACTATACTTCATGGTGCTCTTCATTGAATTATTTTCCATCTCAAAGTTTTTTTTAATTTCCATATAGAACAGTTAATATAATTTTTTACAACAGCCATGAAATGCAATGCTAATTCTCAATCACAATTTTCATTGTATTTAAGTCTTGGTTTTAAAAAGTCAATTAAATGAAACTATATACATGACTGAAAATGAATCTATCCACACTCCTGGAAAAAATGTAAAATATAGTTCCACCTAATGCCATCTTTGAATATAATTATCAACATTATCTAAACTGATGACATAATGTTGAGATATGATTAATGGAATCAGTAGGATATTTTTCTAAAATATTTTTAGTATTATAATCTGAATTTATCAGCTTTCCTTTTTGTTGCTTACATTTCACAATGGCAGAATGGTAAGAAAAAGCAGCAAACTTCTCAATATCTCAAAGTTTTTATACTTAAGATTGAGTCAAATCATATTTAAAGTTGTTTTTATGGTCTCAGACAGACTTACTTGGATTTCAGTTTTGCTTTAGTTGCATGATCTCAAACACATTAGTTAATTCATTTCCTTATCAATAAAATAAAGTTTGTAAGCGTGTGTGTGTTTGTGTGTATGTTGTGGTAATGGTGATGGTGGTGGTGGCTCACAGTTTAAGTAAGAATGGAACTACAATAAGGTAGTCTCTGCTGGCTTAATTGGGATGTGAATGTCATCAGAAGAAACATACCTCACCTCTCATTCAATGTTCCTCAACTCTTCACCTCCCTGAAGTACAAGAAGAAGGAGGAGGATACATAGGATTTTACAGAGCCTATTCTTCAGCTGGTCCATGGACTAGGTAAACTCTTGTGATTAAATAACAGAGGATGGGCAGCTGATATACTAACTGATGCAATTGGTAAGATTGTGGACACAGACATAGGTGCTTTTAAGACAAGAAAACAAAGTGTGGCAAATAATTGAGGAGAAGTCTATTCTCCTAATTCTTCAGTAATAATGACTGAAGTCTTCCAAGACTAGAAGTCTTGAAAGATATCATTCAGAGTCAGGTTACTTAATATTGACATTGGAGGTCCCAATACAGGCAGTGGCCAATTGGCTTCTCAGGCAGTGTAGGTAGACAAATGAGAAACAGAAAAGGATAAGAAAAGTAATACCCTTAATAACTGTAGCTGACTGGATGAATTATAAGAATATCTGTAGTCTCATTTAAGTACTTTTGAAAATAACAAGAAATGCACTGAGAGAGGTTAACATTCAGCCTCCTAGAGAGATGGAGTTTCAGTCCATGGAACCCTAATTTGGATATAAGAAATTTTACTGTTTTTTATAGACATCAGTTGGTAAAGCCTAAGCCATAATATTATTTGTGACTGACTCTTATTGTTCTTTTTTCACAATTATCCTGCAAATAATTATCATATCTTCTCCCCTTTATATCCTGAAATACAAAAGGAATTGAGACTTTGACAAGTTATATGGACCAATATTTTGTCTCCAGACTAAACCATACTTTAAAACTGACACGTGTATTATTCCCAACTAAGAGGTAGAAACTTTGCAATGATTGCTAAGATATTGATATTGTCTTATAACAGCTGGATAAAGAAAAAGCAGTCACACTGTTTCACAATGTTGTCATCTTTCTTACTATGAGTTATGAATTTTGTAATCACTCATCTTTCATGGAAGAAATGTGATATGGTTTGGCTGTGTCCCCACCCAAATCTCATCTTGATTATAGTTTCCATAATCCCCATGTATCATGGGAGGGACCCAGTGAAGGTGTTTCATCATGAGGACAGTTACCTTCATGCTATTCTCATGATAGTGAGTGAGTTCTCACAAGATCTGATGGTTTTATAAGGGGCCTTCCCCTGCCCCTTTACTCTGCACTTCTCCTTGCTGCCGTCATGTGCAGAAGTATGTGTTTGCTTCCCCTTCTGCCATGATTGTAAGTTTCCTGAGGCCTCCCAAGCCATACAGAACTGTGAATCAATTAAACCTCTTTTCTTTATAAATTACTCAGTCTTGGGCATGTCTTCATTAGCAGTGTGAGAACGAGCTAATACAAAATGTCAACGTATTTTTGTTAATCACACAGTGTTCAAAACTTAATAAGGAGTTTTATTACAGTGCAGAATGTGACAATTCCAAATTTTCAAAGCCATATTAAATCTTCACCTAAAAAAATTTCCAAAAAGCCTAGCACACTCAGAAATACATATAAAGAAATGAACATTGTCACCATTACATCATCAAGAAATTCTGAACAATTTAGCAAGAAACTCTGGCACCTACCAAGGGTTTATCTAATCTCTAACATTTTTTTCCACACAGACATAAGTGCAAATCCATTGCTATTTTAATTATTTAATTCATTATACTTAAGGCTTTCCTCCCTTACTAACAACTGGAGTTCTCTGATCTCATGCAAATATGAAATGGGAATACATCATGAGGGCTTCTTGGGGATACAAATGACATATGTAACTTTTTCAGGACACAGGCACTCATATAATAAGAATAAATTTCAAAAGTGGCACTCCTGTCTCATGGTAATTGCTATTCCTCTCAATTTCCCATCATCTACATCCTGTAATTCTTAATATTTATGAAATATGAGCCCCTGTCATTCTATTAAAGCTGGCTTTTTTCCCATTTTCTTAACACAGGAATACATATGCCAAACTCTGAAAAGTAATTTCAGTGTCACTGATGCTTTATTTTTTCTTGATGTATTCAGGAATCTCACTATGACATCTTATTGTATTCATGCAGTCTATCCATGAGACAGTGTTATAATGAGGTTACACTGTGCAATGGACTAAATACTGGTGTCCCCCTGAAGTTCCTATGATTATATCCTAATCCCCAATATGATGGTTATGGAGGTAGGGCCTTGGCAGGTGATTAGGTTATGAGGGAGGAGCCCTCATGGATAAGGTTAGTGCCAGCCCTTATGAAAGAGACCCTAGAGAAGTCCCTTGCCCCTCCTGCCATGCAAGGTTACAATGGAAGGCAGGTGTCAATGAGGAAGCAGACATTCCCCAGTCAACCAATCTTCTAGTGCCTTCATCTTCACCTTTCCACTGTCTGTAACTATGAGAAATAAATTTTTATTGTTTATGAGTCACCCAGTCTGTTATTTTATTATAGCAGTCCTAATTGAATTAGACACACTGTCTCCACCATTGATCTTTGAGTGCTTGAAAAACAAAAAAATTGTTCAAAATAAATTTGTGACTTTCTAAATTTTACTAAGGAAAAAAATGAACCATTATGTAGGGCCACATTGTAACGTGTTTTTTACAAAAATCCCATTACATAACATCAAAATGTAAGGAATAACTATCTGTCTTCAAAATGCTACGTAATAATAATAAACACAACTGGTAAATTAAGAATCCAGGACTTGAACTAAGATCTGTCTTAGTGCCCTGCCAAATTTCACCCCAGAAACAGGATAGTTAATGCCACAGGGGCAACCTTCAACCAATGGGTGTAAGGGATGGTGGAAAAATGTCTCCCAATTTTTCTGGATGGGTAATTCTGGTAAGCCTCCTGCCCATTTCTCAGGATATTCCAGTGGAATCAAACCCACATTCCTCAGTAAAGTAGCCCTGGAAATATACCATAAAATTGTTTTTTCCTTCTGCCTTATCTCATTTTCCCCAGCTCTCACTCTTGCTTCCTTGGACCACCTCCACAATAAGCCACCTGCACCCAAGTCCTCATTCTCAGGCTCTGTTTTGGGAGAAACGTAAACTGATACGGTCATGTGTGCATCACCATAGCCTGCTACTTCCTCTAAAGACTGACCCCAACAGGACTGTGTTGATTGAATTTTGCATACTTCTGAAAGTTATATGTTGCAAAAACCCAAGATGTTATACAGGCAAAGGAAAGAGTGCTGGCAGAGTGAATAGCTTTTGAATATCTAAATATTTCTTGATCAGTTCATCACAACTTGGCCTCAGTTTCCTCATCTGGAATGATATGACAACATGGTCTATAAATTACTTCTTTCCCAGAACCTAAATTCAGTTACCTTAAAGTCTCATGAGTAAGAAAGAGATGTTTGATTAAGCAATCTGTACAACCTAAATTAGCCCAAACTGGAATGCTGAAATGATAAAGCTAGTTCTTCTTTATGGTTAGTCAATGATCCATGGTCTAAGTGATATGACATGAGAACATTTTGCTAATTACTGAACACTATTTTGAGAGGTTTTTTTTGGCAGCCACTGTATAATTCAGAGGATTCTATTCCTACTGACATTACCTAAGATAATTGCTCTCCACAGCTATAAAGAAAGAGAAATGCTGAAATGAGATGATATACCTAAAGGTAAGCATGAGAAAATCTAAATTTAGCAGGATATTATTTTTCCTATACAGGAAATTTTTGCTGATTATTGAGATGGCAAAAGAAATTTTAAAAGGAAATATTGTTTCTGTAACCTGTGCATTTTAAGCACTCTTACCATTGAGAGCCTTAAACCAGTTCAAATTTGGAAGAAAGAGGAAGTGGGTGAAGGAATCATTAATCTCATTGTTTCCTAGGTTTTCTCTAGTGTGTCATAAGTGAATAGAACTTTCTATCTGATTGGAATAAGTCCTGTTCCCACAAGGCAAGATGATGATAAACTAGACAAATTATAATGGTCTCTTTCATCACACTGCTTCTAAAATAAACTATAAAAATATTTTGAATTATTAAAATATTATACATAAATGGTATTTTGTATTTTAAAATGTGGTCCTTTCATAATATTATTTACCTATAGCATATTTATGATGTTCCCATTATAAATTAAATTTCTGAAATTTACATCTCTACTCCCAATCGCTTTCCTCTGTTCCATATTTATAGACCCAATTTCATGCCAAACATCTTTACTTAGGAACTTCAACTTTGCAAATGTCCCCCACTCCAATATGTTCCAAAGGACTAATCATCATTGATCTTCAAAACTTTCCCTCTTTTCTTCTCACAATTTTCTTTCTTCTAACAATTCCTCTCCTGGAAAATTACACCCACCTTGAAATTTTTTAGAAACTTCTGAATAATCCCTACATCCCTCCTCTCATTATCTATCTTAGTCTGCTCAGGCTGCTATAACAAAATAACACATATTGGATGGCTTAAAAAGCAGACATTTATTTCTCACAGTTCCTGAGGCTAAAAAGTCCAAGGTCAAAGTGCCAATCAATATAGTTTATGTTGATGACTCTCTTCCAGTCTTGCAGATGGTCCCCTTCTCATTGTGTCCTCACATAGTGAAGGGGGACAGGGAGTGAATTCTGGTCTCTTTTCTCCCCTTATAAGGATATTAAGTCCATCGTGGGGGCCCTCTCACATGATCTCATCTAAATTTAATCATCCCCCAAAGGCCCTTCTTCCAAACACTATAAATACTAAATATTTGGGAGTTAGGGCTTCAACATATGATTTTGTAAGGACACAAATGTTCACTGTATAACATTATAACCCTGATTTCTTAAATGTACAATCTTCTTGCGTACAAAATATATCATTCCATCTCAAAAGCCCCAAAAGTCTTAACTTGCTTCAGCATCAACTCTAAAGTTCAAAGTTGTTTATAAATATCATCCAAATCAGATATAAGACATGAGGTACAATTTATCCTGAGGCTAAAATCCTCTATGGCTGTGAACCTGTGATGCAAGACAAATTACGTCCTTCCAAAATACAGTGGTAGGACAGGCATAAACTAGACATTCTTATTCCTAAAAAAAAAAAAAAAAAAAAAAAAAGGAAATCAGAAGGAAGAAAGGGGAGATGGGTGCCAAGCAAGCAGCACCAAAACTAGCAAGGTAAATACTATTAGATCTTAAGGCTCAAGAATAATTCTCTTTGGTTCTCGGGCTTTTGTCCCACCTCTGTGGCTCTGCAAGGCTCCAGGCAACTGCTTTCTGGCCTGTTGAAACCCAGGTGGTCTCTTACCTTCCACTCACTACTTTGAAACTGAGGAGGCTACTCCATTGATCTTTGAATTGCCTTTGGAGTCTTTCTTTCCTGTTTGAAGAATAGTGAGTGTTCACAGCCAAATAGCTCTATGATCTGGTCCTGTAGAGTCTAAAAGAATCAACATCCTTCCTTCATCTTGTTCCATCTCTGTTTTCTCCTGTTCAGCATGGCAGTGTTTCTGCTGTGGTGGCTGATTAAGTCCACAGTTCACACTCAGCCCAATGTTATTATCAAACTGTTGTTTGCTATATGGATAGGCTGATAATTTTCCAAGTCTTAAAGTTCGGGTTTCTTTGTGCTTAATAGTTCCTTCTTCACTTTCTTTCTCTCTTCTCATCTTTTACTATAGGAAGTCAGGAAGAACCAAGCCATTTCTTCAATATTTGGCTTAGAAATTTTAGCTAAATATACAGTTTCACCATTCACAAATTCTACCTTCCACAAAACATTAGAACACAGTTCAGCCAAATTATTTCTCACTTTATAACAATAATGTGCACCCATTTACATCTAAGACCTCACCAGAGTAATCTTTGCCAGCATTTCTACCAATATCCTGTTTATAATTATATATGTATTCTCTAAGAATAGACGCTCTATCTACAGATGTTCTCTTTTGTTTCCGAGCCCTCATCAGAATCTCTTCACAATCCTTAATAATCCTTTCATAACAATCTCAGCTTTTCTAGCACACACCTTAAAACTCTTTCAGCCTCTGCCCATTACCCAGTTCCAAAGCCACTACAACATTTTTAAGTATTTGTTACAGTAGCACCCCACTTCTCAGTACCAAAATGTGTATTAGTCATGATTCTCCAGAGAAACAGAGCCAATAGGATGTGGGGAGAGAGAGACAGAGAGAGGGATTTATCATAAGGAATTGGCTTATGCAATCATGGAGGCTGAGAAGTCTAAACCCGAGAAAGGCAATAGTATAGTTCCAGTCCAAAATAGAATTACTAAAAAGCCTATTTGATAGCACAACAGAATGACTAAAGTCAATACTAACTTAGTTGTACATTTTTAAAAAAACTAAAAGGGTATAACTAGATTGTTTGTAACACAAAAGATAAATGCTTGAGGGAATGGATACCCCATTCTCCATGATGTGATTATTATGCATTGCGTGCCTGTATCAAAACATTCCTTTAACCCCATAAATATATATACATTCTATGTACCCACAACAAATTAAGAATTCTAGTAAGTTAAAAAGACAAGTGCAAAAAATAAAGAATGACTGAAAAGCAAGAAAACCAATGGTGTAAGTCTGGTCCAAGTCCAAATCCAAAAATAGGAGACAACCGTGTCCTAACTTAAAGATAGTCAGACCGAGAGAAAAAATTCTTTCCTACTCACTGTTTTATTCTATTCAGGCTTCAACTGAGTGGATAAGGCTGACCCAAATTGGGAAGGGCAATGTGCTTTACTTTACCAATTTAAATATTAATCTCATCCAGAAACATCCACACAAAGATATCCAGAAAGTTTAGCTAAATATCTAGGTATGCCATAATACACAAAATTAACTATCACGTTATCCATCGAAAATATAAGCATCAAGTTCAAATTTTCATCATTTATTGCCTAGAAAAATGTAATACTCAAACTAGCCTTTTCTCTATCTAGTTCATAGTTTCCAGAAATATGTGCCTAACATAAAAATTTATTTCTAGCACCTTAGGATATGCCATCTGTATACTTTTATCAATGTAATGTATCAACCTTCTTCACTCTTTCTCTTTGGTTAACTAAATTATTTGCATTTCCTCAACTCTACCATATATTCTCTTATCCCTTTTGCGTTTGCAAGTTACCTACGCAAAATTCAAGTCTTATTCCTTCATCTAAGTCAACCGTAAAATTATTTTAAGCTCTGTCTGTACAGAAACAGTGAAATAGAAATATCACTCAACACAGAAAATTATGAAAAGAAAAATAATCCACATGCACTCTATATTTGTTATGCTCTGGCAGGTAAACTCTGTAGGCATATCCAAGGTGACACCAGCCTGAAGGCAGAGGAACAAGCAGCTTCCATTATCATATATTCCACCAGATAGCAGAGGATACTTTGAAGTTTTTCCTTCAGGTTTCTGACCATTTGGATTAAGGTATAGTCATTTTAATAACTCGCAGTAGATGAAATAAAGTTTTGGACTTGATCAACACTGAAGTGATGGTCACTGAGAAAATGAGAATTAGAGGTATATAAAATCATGTATCTTTTAACATGCACCCTCTGAAATGGGGGTACTCAGAAAGGGTGTTGCACTAGGGAGGAGGAAGCCATTAGATGCTCTATGTGAGAGAGGATGCGGAAAGAGGTGAAATGGTAGATCTGACCTCCTCACAGGTTCCCACAGGAACAAGCATGCGTACCTCTTACTTCTCAGTATGCTGCAGAGAAACAAATAGGAGATTATGTTGTGCAGACTTCAACAAAGGACAGTAAGATGCCCCCTCATGTTTATGTTAAGCAGCTATGTGAGTTGTATCAAGGGAACAAAAAATATACAGTATGTGTTTCAGTCAAAATAAATTAATTCTTTATTAAGAATGGTAGCAAATACATTCTCCATCTCTGTATGCGTATTGATCTCATCCTCGTACTTATTCTTGAAGTTCTCCACCAGCCCCTGCATGTTGCCAAGCTCCACCTCCAGCTTCAGCTTCTCCTAGCCCAGAGTCTCCAGCTGCCATCGAAGGTTATTGATGTAGCTCTCCAACATGTTGTCCATGTTGCTCCAAGCCATCTCCTGCTGCTGCAGGAGGCTCCACTTGGTCTTCAGCATCTTGTTCCGCTCCTTCAGGAACTGTACCTTGTCGATGAAGGAGGCAAACTTGCTGAGAGTCTTAATCTGCTTCTTCTCCTGGGTGCACACGGCCTGGATGTTTGGGTCCACCTCCAGGTTAAGGGGGTTCAGCAGGCTCTGGTTGACCATGGCCCTGGTTATACTGCTGGCCCCACCATGGCCTCTGCCTAGGGTACCCTGGAATCTGCTGCTGCCTACTCGGGAGAAGCTCAAGGAGCCAATGTGAGCCCCAGGCCCCCTGGCATAAGAGCACCTACTGAAGGTCCCGGGGATAGAGGTGGACGCCTTGTAGGACTTCTGGGTCAACCTGATGGACATGGTGGAGGCAGGTGGGCTGAACCAGGTGGAGATTCCAGAAGGAGCAAGGAGCAGGGAAGCTGCTTCTCAGGACTTTTATTCCTTATTTCTTTTTTTTTTTTTTTTTTTTTTTGAGATGGAGTTTTGCTCTTGTGGCCCAGGCAGGAGGGCAATGGCATGTTCTTGGCTCACTGTAACCTTGGCCTTTCCAGGTTCAAGCGATTCTCCTGCCTCAGCCTCCCAGGTAGCTGGGACTACAGGTGCCCACCACCACACCGGGCTAATTTTTGTACTTTTAGTAGAGATGTAGTTTCACCATTTTGGCCAGGCTGGTCTCGAACTCCTAACCTCAAATGATCCACCTGCCTCAGCCTCCCAAAGTGTTGGGATTACAGGCGTGAGCCACTGCGTCCAGCTGGGATTTTTATTTCTTTAAGTAATCTCCATACTCTTTCCCATAGCAGTTGTACTAGTTTACATTTTCACCAGCAGCATAGAAGTGTTCCCTGTTCACCGCATCCACAGCAACATCTACTATTTTTGATTTTTTGATTATGGCCATTCTTGCGGAAGTAAGGTGGTATCGCATTGTGGTTTTAATTTGCATTTCCCTGATCATTAGTGATGCTGAGCATTTTTTCATATGATTGCTGGCCATTTGCATATCTTCTTTTGAGAATTATCTATTCATGTCCTTAGCCCGCTTTTTGATGAGTTTTTTTTGTTTCTTTTTCCTTACGGATTTGTTTGAGTTCATTGTAGATTCTGGATATTAGTCCTTTGTCAGATGTATAGATCGTGAAGATTTTCTCCCACTCTGGGGGTTGTCTGTTTACTCTCTGACTGTTCATTTTGCCATGAAGAAGCTCTTTAGTTTAATTAGACCCCAGCTATTAATCTTTGTTTTTATTGCATTTGCTTTTGGGTTCCTGGTCATGAAGTCTTTGCCTAAGCCAATATCTAGAAGGGTTTTTCCAATGTTATCTTCTAGAATTTTTAGTTTCAGGTCTTATATTTAAGTCCTTAATCCATCTTGAGTTGATTTTTGCTCAAGGTGAGAGATGAGGATCCAGTTTCATTCTCCTAGCCAATTATCCCAACACTATTTGTTGAAAAGGGTGTCCTTTCCCCACTTTATGTTTTTGTTTGCTTTGTTGAAGATCAGGTGGCTGTAAGTATTTGGGTTTATTTCTGGATTCTCTATTCTGTTCTATTGGTCTATGTGCTTATTTTTATACAAGTAACATGCTGTTTTGGTGACTATGGCCTTATAGTATAGTTTGAAATCAGGTAATGTGATGTCTCCAGATTTGTTCTTTTTGCTTAGCTTTGCTTTGGCTATACAGGTTCTTTTTTGGTTTTACATGAATTTTTAAATTGTTTTTTCTAATTCTGTGAAGAATGATGGTGGTATTCTGATGGGAATTGCAATAAATTTGTAGATTACTTTTGGCAATATGGTTATTTTCACAATATTGATTCTGCCCGTCCATAAGTATGGGATGTGTTTTGTTTGTATTATCTATGATTTCTTTCAACAATGTTTTGTAGTTTTCCTTGTAGAGGTCTTTCACCTCCTTAGTTAAGTATATTGCCAAGTATTTTATCTTTTTTTTGCAGCTATTGTAAAAGAGGTTGAGTTCTTGATTTGATTCTCTGCTTGGTCACTGTTGGTGTATACAAGAGCTACTGATTTGTTTACATTAATTTTGTATCCTTACACTTTGCTGAATTCTTTTATCAGTTCTAAGAGCTTTCTGGAGGAGACTTTAAGGTTTTCTAGATAAGCAATCATATCATCAGCAAACAGTGACAGTTTGACTTCCTCTTTACAAATGTGGATGCTCTTTATTTCTTCCTCTTGTCTGATTGGTCTGGCTAGGACTTCCAGTACTATGTTGGAGTGGTGACAGTGGGCATCCTTGTCTTGTTCCAGTTCTCAGAGGGAATGCTTTCAAGTTTTCCCCATTCAGTATTATGTTGGCTGTGTGTTTGTCACAGATGGCTTTTATTACCTTGAGGTATTTCCCTTGTAAGCGAATTTTGCTGAGAGTTTTAATCATAAAAGGATGCTGGATTTTGTCGAATGCTTTTTCTGCATCTATTGAGATGATCATGTGATTTTTGTTTTTAATTCTGTTTATGCAGTGTATCATATTTATTGACTTGTGAATGTTAAGCCAGCTCTTGCAGCAGGTTCTCTTAAAGGGAGAAAAACTTTATACCACATCCACCATGAGGGTTTACACAGATTTCCATTCCACCCCTGCACTTTCATATCTGTCCGTAGAGCAGACTTATAAGTGTAACCACACACACAAACAGGTTGAGTACTCTTGGTATAAAACAGTACACATACAAACATATTTGTTTTGTTTTTTCAAGCCAGGGTCTCACTCTGTCACCCAGACTGGAATGCAGTGGCATGATCTCAGCTTACCACAGCCACCGCCTCCCAGGCTCAAGGGATTCTCCCACCTCAGCCTCCCGAGAAGCTGGATTACAAGCATGCACCACAACCACCTGGCTAATTTTTGTATTTTTAGCAGAGATAAGGTTTCACCATGTTGGCCAGGCTGGTCTTGAACTCCTGACCTCAAATGATCCACCAGCCTCATCCTCCCAAAGTGCTGTGATTATAGGCATGAGCCACTAGTTCATGTATTTTAAATGAATAAGTCTAACTATCAAGTCACTACAGATTTTGCATTTTCTTATATGTAGCAGTTTAATTTTTAAATATCAGCATTTATAAAATACGGGTCAGGTGCAGTGGCTCATGCCTGTAATCCCAGCACTTTGCAGGATGAGATGGGTGGATCACTTGACCTTAAGAGTTCAAGACCAGCCTGGCCAACATGGTGAAACCCTATCTCTACTAAAAATACAAAAATTAGCCAGGCGTGGTGGTGGGCACCTGTAATTCCAGCTACTTGAGAGGCTGAAGAAGGAGAATTGTCTGACCCTGGGAGTCGGAGGTTGCAGTGAGTCAAGATCATGTCATTGCACTCCGGCCTAGAGACAGAGCAAGAATCTGTAAAAAAAAAAAAAAAAAAAAAAAAAAAAAAAAAAAATGTAAGATACTTAAAATTATGATGTAAAAAAATCACTGTCAAGTTAAAAATATCTGAAGAAAGACATTGTTTTTCACAAATTTAAGGTACAAATGAGCAAAACTTGTAAAAAATTATTCAACTAAATGTTGTCTAAGATCATTTTTGAAACCATGATTCCATGCAATAGTATGCTCAATGATATTGCTACTATTCAGCTATAATTGTTTTAGCTAAAGAAGTATTATGCTATAATGATAAGCTATTAGCTGAAAGCAAACTACCATAAGGATATATCCATATATTTCTGAAAGGTAATACATTATATGTAGCAATTTTCCTGGTATAGGGTTGAAAGATCCTTTATGTTAAGAATTAAGAAAAACCCAAAGCTTGATTTGAGCACTCATGAGTAGCTTTCAGAAATTTTACAGACAACAAAAGGGATTTGAGAGCATTTCATTGTCTGAAATGTTATTAAGCAAAATTATACTTCCCCGTTCTTTGCCTTCTCTCTTTTTCCTAACACATCCCCCAGGAGGATCTGTAAATAAACATTCCCAAAAAAAATTGTCATTCCATTGAAAACAGTAAATTCTTTATCTTTTTTTTTCATTCCCAGGGTTTGGGGTTAAAAAATATAATATATTTTTCTATTCCAAACTCTTAGATTGATTGGAAACTGTATACTATCAACTGTAATGAAAAATCTTTCCCCTTCTTCAACAAATGCCATGGTTTTTATTTTATTGCTTAATAAACTATGTTGTAATATAATATTTAAATGTTTGCTTATGAATATAAAATATTTATAAGTAACACATTTATGCAAAGCACAGTTTCACAAATTATATGAGATGAATGCCTGTGTGTTTAATATAAATTATAATTTAGTTTCTTTGTGCTCTTAAGTGGCTAATACAGAGTTAATAATTCAGACTGTTCAATTGTATATGTTGTATTTTTCCTCATTTTTATTACATATTTGTCAGTTAGAATTTCTTCATCTAATTTTCTGTTAATAAGGGGGTTTAAATTATACTGAAAGCTCACTAGCAAGGGAATTCAATGGGATGTTAGCAATATCCAATCATACATGTCCAGAGTTTTCTTCAATCATAAAACACATGAGATGTATAATTTCAGCACTGATGCATGACTGTAGAAATTCTAAGATTAAAAAGCCCCCAGGTACTATTGAGTTCATTATAGAAAGCTGACAGTGATTCTTTCAGCAGATAAAAGAAATGTAATTATAGCCCTGTCCAATAGACAGTTTATGTCTACTTTGAATGTTATAAGTGTGATGTTTGCTTTCAGATTTTTTTATAACCTGTCTTCTTACTAATTCTCTATAGCAACTTAGTTCTCCAAATTAATCTTGTATTTCAGGCAACAGTATTTTCAAAAATCAATCACCTTAGCAAAATGTCTCCTTTTTTATTTCTTTATCACATAATAAATATGAACTACTCCCTTCAAAGTCTACTTAAGATTGATAGTAGAATTTCAAAGACTTACTCACTTTTGATTTTTATCAAAGTTGTAACTATGGTGCTCACTGGCTTTTGTATAAAATGCTGAGAAGAACAGAATTGAAAACTGTGAGAAATGCTGACTTTTATTTCTAGTGTTTATAGGGATTATTAAGAAAAATAATAATATAAGGTTTAAATGAATGCTTTCTTTTCTTTGAAGGAAACAATGTCATTGAATCAAGAACTGAATGCCTGACAAGAAAACTCTAATCTGATAAGAATGCCTTTCCCAAAGAAATTAGACTGTTTCAAAAAATGATACATACTTTTTAAATTCATTATGCCTCCCCTGGACTATAAATACAATTAATGAAAGTATTCACCAGAGAAAATAAGTATTGAAAGTACTCACCTCCAAATTATTGAAAGCAATAATGTATTGCCCTCATTAGAAAACATCTAAGTATGTGTTATTTTTTCTGTATTTTCACATTTTGCCATAATTAGATTAAACAGAACATATTAGTAATATCTGCATAGTAATTTAGATTTGCTTTCATTGACAGTAATAAAATAAAAGGAATTAAGTAAACACATCATCTTCAGGGTATAGACAAGAATGCTATATCCACAAAGTCAAACATCTACCCATGGAGTAGATTGTTTTACTATGAGTCATAGAACTGACTTTTTTGTGGAATTAAAGTAGATTCTTCAATTTTCAAATAAGTACATTGTTAACCTAAAGAAGTCATGTATCCTCTTCAAAACCAAATGTTACACAAAATAATATGCAACTTTTAATACTTTTCATATGAAATATTAGGCAAGACATTACATAATTATGTTTTTACTTGGACCCATTTAACCTGTAAGTTTTTAGAGTTTCCACTATGGATTAATAACTAACCTAGAAGAAAGCACTGTGAAAATGCTAATTGTCCACCTCATCAAATAAAATGAGTCAATTTTGGCAGATACTAAGTAAGGTATTCCATCCATGAAAAGACTGATTTCAGGAGAGGCAAAGCTACTGGGGTATTCAAAAGAACATGATAGTAGGCAATGAGACACCTGGGAGTCATCATAGGTACGCCATCAACTCAGCATTTTACCTCTCTAGGCCTCTGTTTCCTCCATCATCAAAAGGATGAGATTAATAAATGAGCTTTAATAACATGCCATTCAAGTCACACAGCAGAACTCTTCAAATAGGTAGGTGCATAGTAGTCACTATCCTTGTTCTTTAGCAGATACTATACTAATAATTCAACATTCATCTATCTTCTTATTCTCAACCTCTCTGTGCCAACTCCTATCTCTCTCCAAAAAATGTAGAGGACGGGAATATGGAAACCATCTGATAACTGTTTGGGAAAGTGATTTATATAAAGACTCTTAGGAAATACTTGGGTATTGGGTAGTGGGGACTCCCAACATATTAGAAAATCAAATATTTCAGTTGCCTATCCCAGTTTTTTTCATAATAAATCTCTCATAGGGTAGGTAGCTTTTACTTCTAAGAAACACCTAACTTACATCTTCTGGTGACTGTATTAGCTGGTCTTGCACTGGAGAGGGAGACACTGACATATAGCATGACAATACTCGTGTCTAGCACTTCTCTCTGCTTAAGCTGATTACTCCATCACAAACAAGAATTAAAGAAATAGGCAAAGATAACTCATAATTTGTCATGTAGGATCAATACAGAAAAAAATTTCGAGGCTACTGTGGGGAGGGTGTATCTATGTGTATGAGTAAGTGAGTTGCTTTATACAGTTAAATTTAAAAAGAAATAAGGAGGTCATATTATCTAGTGGCTAAAGTGGATTCTCTGAAACCAGAAGACCTGGCCTTGAATACTAGATCTGCCACTAACTGTGTAACATTGGCCAAGTAGTTTAGCTTCTTCATTCCTTAGCAAAGCTGCAATTTCATTTTATACTGTGCCCAAAAAATTATGTAGCCAGTCCTGAATGTTAGCTGTAATTCATATAACTCTATTACAGTAGAGTAATAAATTACAGCTAATATTTAGTCACCCCTACTGTACTTTTGCAATCACCCCTACTGTACTATTTACCCTTGAAGGTAGAAAATAAGTTTTGTTTATTCTACACCATAACAAAATAATTATTCCTTGGTGAGTCAACAGAATATAGCATGTTTTCTGAATTCCAGTAACTTATAGAGCAAATCCCCATGATAAATCGAATTGAGATATGTCTTAATTGTGATTGGCACCAATCATGCACCTAATACCCATTCTCCAGTGCGGGAAGACTCAAGTTCTAATCTTCTGTGGGGAGGTAGAAACATAAAAGGAAAGATTACCCCAAAGAAATAACAGGTGTTGTGTCTCAGGATATGGCAAGAGGATGTGGAAAAGCAGAAAGTAGTTTCTCTTTTCCAGTCTTTTTCTGCACCAAGGAATTGGAAGACTTCTAGAATCACTACTACTGTACTGGACATCCCAGTCAATATCGGGACTTATAATCCTTCTCACTAGTATTTCAAATAAGTCAGATAACTTCCACCAGGTAACACCAAAATACAACAGAGATTGGACTTGTCTCACGTCCATATTAATTTGAGGTCTTCCAGAACTTGAGATCATCAAGCTCATTCACTTCATTAATTTCAAAATATGCCCATTCATTTAAATAATGTCACAACAATCTATTTTTGGACCCAGGTTATTGTATTTGGTAGGGATTTTGTGGCTGGAAAAAAATAACTTTTAATTGAATGGCTTCTTTAAGTGTGTTTCACAGATCATGAATCCTGTGAAATATATTTTTTTCTTAAGTAGTTAATAATACTATTTTCCCTTACTTCATGAGTCTCACTACCAAACAACATAGTAAATATTGAAAATTCTTACAGAAAAGGAAGTTATTTAATTGTGTTTAACCCCATATATTTTCAAGTTACACTTATTAGCATTCTCATACTGGTTTC
Organism: Homo sapiens; assembly: GCF_000001405.40. NCBI lineage: Eukaryota > Metazoa > Chordata > Mammalia > Primates > Hominidae > Homo > Homo sapiens. The sequence goes on from NC_000006.12 coordinate 63,201,106, forward strand.
TGCAGAAAATATCTAAGAGAAAGTTAAAATACTTTCAAAAGAGATGAGAACTCAAAGACAGGAACATCTGTGTGGCCTAGGAGAGTAAGAAAAATATTCAAGTTTAACATCTTGTATCTCTGTTATCACTTCAAATCCTTCACACAACAAGAAGTACTTTGCCATATTCTCCGAAACATCCATTTCAACAACACATTCTTAAAATAGCTATTTTACTGACTATTTTATGAGAATATTGGAGCGAAAACATTTTCGTCATATGTAACACAGTAAAAACTTAATAAAATTCCCTAATAGATATTTCTATTTCTCATTCTTTCCTACTAAATTCTTCTTCAACTTTGCCACTTAATTTATTTTCCTTTTCCTACACAGAGCTTCCAGGAAACATCCACAATTGTGTTTCCTAAACTTACCCTCTTCTACAAAATAATTGTTTACTAATTACACAGAAAGTAAATAGTAACCATCTATGTTTCTTCAAGCTATGACTCCCTATGCAGACGGCTTATCAAAGCTCTTGCTTAGAAAGTCTCTTTGCTGCAAAAATCTATCACTAAGAAAATAAGATTCCCTTCATATTAAAAATATATATATTTAAAGAAGAATTATCTGATATCTTAACCTAAGGATAAAAGGTAGAGCCTAAGCCATTTTTTATGGAGGTGTTGGGGAATAATTAAAAGGGGCAAGAGGCTGGGCGCTGTGGTTCATGCCTGTAATCCCAACACTTTGGGAGGCCCAGGCAGGCGGATCACGAGGTCAGGAGATCGACACCATCCTTGCTAACATGGTGAAACCTTGTCTCTACTAAAAATACAAAAAAAAAAATTAGCCAGGCATGTTGGAGGGCGCCTGTAGTCCCAGCTACTCAGGAGGCTGAGGCAGGAGAATGCTGTGAACCTGGGAGGTGGAGCTTGCAGTGAGCGGAGACCGTGCCACTGCACTCCAGCCTGGGAGACAGAGCAAGACCCTGTCTCAAAAAAAAAAAAAAAGGCGAGGGGCAAGAGTACTAATGACTATTTAATGTATGTACCTATGTAACAAACACTAAAGAAGCATATGTCAGGCATTTTTCTAAATGCTTTACAAACATTAACTCATTTAAAATATAGGCTTGCAAATAGCAACTGCAATCCCAAAAGGCAGTAATCGGACCTCCTCATGTCTGCCTCCTTCTATCATGCAGTGTTTAAATTAGGATCCTCACCAGAGTGTTGCTGGGAAAGTCACTTACATTTCAGGCTACATCTTCCTAAACTCTGCCTTATTGGTCAACACTCCTCTGTAGCTCTTTAGTTACCCAAAAAACGTCTCATAGCTTAGCACTGGAGTGCCCAGAAGCTCCGTCCTTGGACAGAGTTTTTTCTCAGTTTATAATTACCCTCTTGGTAATTTCATTCCTTCACTTGGTTTTAAATATATCCATATGCTGATGACTTCCAACTTATGCCTCAAAAACAAACCGCTCCTCTGAGTCCCAATTTCTTTCAACTCAGTTTCCTTCTTGACATTGCCAATTAGATGAATAATAGACATTTCTAATTTAATGGTTCCAAAACTGAACTCTTAATCATTCTCCTAAACCCATGCCTTCCACAGACTTTCCCATCTCAGCAATGACAACTCCATCCTGTCGGTTACTGTATTAGTTTGTTTTCACCCTGCTGATATAGACATACCCAAGACTGGGAAATTTACAAAAAAAAGAGGTTCATTGTACTTACAGTTCCATGTGGCTGGGGAGGCCTCACAATCATGCCTGTCTCACATGATGGCAGACAAGAGAAGAAACCTTGTGTGAGGAAACTCACCTTTCTAAAATCATCAGATCTCATGAGACATATTACTCTCATGAGAATAGCATAGGAAAAACATGCTCCCATGATTCAATTGCCTCCCACTGAGTCCCTCCCACAACGTGTGGGAATTGTGGGAACTACAATTCAAGATGAGATTTGGGTGGGGACACAGCCAAACCATAACATTCCATCCCTGGCCCCTCCAAATATCATGTCCTCACATTTCAAAACCAATCATGCCTTCCCAATAGTCCCCCAAAGTCTTAACTCACTTCAGCATTAACTTGAAAGTCACAGTCAAAGTCTCTCATCCAAGATAAGGCAAGTCCCTTCTGCCTATGAGCCTGTAAAATCAAAAGCAAGTTAGTTACTTCCTAGATAAAATGGGGGTACAGGCATTGGGGAAATATGGCCGTTCCAAATGGGAGAAATTGGCCACAACAAAGGGGCTACAAGCCCCATGCAAATCTGAAATCCAGTGGGGCAGTCAAATCTTAAATTTCCCAACTGATCTCCTTTGGCTCCAGGTCTTACATCCAGGTCACACTGATGCAAAAGGTGGGTTCCCATGGTATTAAGCAGCTCTGCCCCTGTGGCTTTGCACAGTACAGCCTCCCTCCCAGCTGCTTTCAAGGGCTGGCATTGAGTATCTGCAGGTTTTCCAGGTGCACAATGCAAGCTGTCAGCAGCTGTACCATCCTGGGGTCTGGGGTATGGTGGCCCTCTTCTCACAGCTCCACTAGGCAGTGCCCCAGTAGGGACTCTGTGTGGAGACTCCAGCCCCACATTTCCCTTCTGTGCTGCCCAAGCAGAGGTTCTCCATGAGGGCCCCACCCCTGCAGCAAACTTCTGCCTGGACATCCAGGAGTTTTCCTACATCTTCTGAAATCTAGGCAGAAATTCCCAAACCCCCATTCTTGACTTCTGTGCACTCACAGGCTCAACACCATGTGGAAGCGGCCAAGGCTTGAGGCTTGCATCCTCTGAAGCCAGGGTCCACCCTCTACATTGGCCCCTTTCAGCCATGGCTGGAGTGACTGGGACACAGGGCACCAAGTCCCTAGGCAGCACACAACATGGGGACCCTGGGCCCAGCCTGCAAACCACTTTTTCCCTCTAGGCCTCTGGGCCTGTGATGGGAGGGGCTGCAGTGAAGACCTCTGACATTTCCTGGAGACATTATCTCCATAGTCTTGGTGATTAACATTGGACTCCTCGTTACTTGTGCAAATTTCTGCAGTTGGCTTGAATTTCTCCTCAGAAAATGGGATTTTCTTTTCTATCACATTGTCAGGCTGCAAATTTTTCAAACTTTTATGCTCTGCTTACCTTATAAAACTAATGCCTTTAAGAACACCCAAGTCACTTCTTGAACACTTTGCTGCTTAGATATTTCTTCTGCCAGATACCCTAAATCATCTCTCTCAGTTCAAGTTACCACAAATGTCTAGGGCAGGAGCAAAATGTCACCAGTCTTTTTGCTAAAACATAACAAGAGTCACCTTTGCTCCAGTTCCCAACAAGTTCCTCATCTCCATCTGATATGACCTAAGCCTGGGCCTTATTGTACATGTCACTATCAGCATTTTTGTTAAAGCTATTCAATAAGTCTCTAGGAAGTTACAAACTTTCCAACATTTTTCTGTCTTCTTTTGAGCCCTCCAAACTATTCTGACCTCTGCCTCTTACCCAGTTCCAAAGTCGCTTCTAAATTTTCAGGTATCTTTCCAGGTGAACAATGTACCTGGAAAAGCTGCAGATACTCCTGGTGCCAATTTACCGTTTTAGTCCATTTTCACACTGCTGATAAAGACATATGGAAGACTGGAAAATTTACAAAAAAAAAAAAAAAAAAAAAAAAAAAAAAAAAAAAAAGAGGTTTATTGGGCTTACAGTTCCATGTGGCTGGGGAGGCCTCACAATCATGGTGGAAGACGAAAGGCATTTCTCACATGACGGCAGACAAGAGAAGAAAGCTTGTGTGGTTAAACTCCCCTCTTTAAAACCATTAGATCTTGTAAGACATATTTCCTATTGTGAGAATAGCATGGAAAAGACCCACCCCCGTGATTTGATTTCCTCCCTCTGGGTCTCTCCCACAACACATGGGAGTTGTGGGAGTTAAAATTCAAGATGAGATTTTGGTAGTGGCACAGCCACACCATATCAGTTGCTCAGGCCAAAAGTCTTGGAGTCATCCTTGACTCCTCTCTTTTTTAACACTCCTCACTTCATCCACCCTCTAATCAATTATCTTGGTCCATGCTACCACCATCTCTCACCTGGATTATTGCAATAGCTTCCCAAGTGCTCTTCTCCCCTTCATCCTTGTTTCCCTTCAATTTATTATCAAAGTAGCATCCAAAGGGATCTTTTAAAAATATAAGTCACATGTCATTTCTCACTCAAAACAAAAACCAAAGCTCCTATTATCTGAACTTATCTTCTATGACTCTTACTTTTGTTCATGCTGCATTGGCCTCCTCTAGTTCCTCAGGCCCACAAGGCATACTTCTGCCTCAGGACCACAGCACTGGCTGTTTTCTCTGCCTAAAATACTCCTCCTTCAGATATTTGCAAGCTGAATTTCTGTCCTTCATTTGTCTCTTCTCAAATATCAGCTTCTCAATGAGACGTGAGAGCTCTGACATCCCCATCTCTCTTACTCACACCATAATACAATTTAACCCATGATTTAATTTACTAATTCATTGTTTTTATTGTCCATCATTCTCTACCAAAATGCAAACTCTTTAAGAGCAAGGATTTTTGGTTACTGAGTATTTTTGAATTTGTATCAATAAAATCAAAAATGTCGGTTGTTACATTTCCTATTGATATGGTTTGGTTGTGTTCCCACTAAAATATCAACTTGAATTGTATCTCCCAGAATTCCCACATGTTGTGGGAGAGATCCAGGGGAGGTAATTGAATCGTGGGGGCCCGTCTTTCCCATGCTATTCTCATGATAGTGGATAAGTCTCATGAGATTTGATGGGCTTATCAGGGCTTTCTACTTTTGCTTCTTCCTAATTTTTCTCTTACCACTGCCATGTAAGAAGTGCCTTTCACCTCCCACCATAATTCTGAGGCCTTCCCAGCCTTGTGGAACTGTAAGTCAAATTAAACCTCTTTTTGTACTAAGTTTCAGGTATGTCTTTATCAGCAGCATGAAAATGAACTAATACAGTAAATTGGCACCAGTAGAGTGGAGCATTGCTAAAAAGATACCTAAAAATGTGGAAGTGACTTTGTAACAGGGTAACAGGCAGAGGTTGGACTAGTTTGGAGGGCTCAAAAGAAGACAGGAAAATGTGAGACAGTTTGGAACTTTCTGGAGACTTGAATGGCTTTGCCCAAAATGTTGATAGTGATATGGACAATAAGGTCCAGGCTGAGGTGGCCGTAAATGGATATGATGAACTTTTTGGGAAATGGAGTAAAGGTGACTCTTGTTATGTTTTACCAAAAGACTGGTGGCATTTTGCCCCTGCCCTAGATATTTGTGGAACTTTGGACTTGAGAAAGATGATTTAGGGTATCTGGCAGAAGAAATTTCTAAAATGCAAAGCATTCAAGAGGTAACTTGGGTGCTGGTAAAGGCTTTCAGTTTTATAAGGGAAGCAGAGTATAAAAGTCTGGAAAATTTGCAGCCTGATGATGCTATTTTCTGAGGAGAAATTGAAGCCAGCTGTGGAAATTGGCATAAGTAGCAAGAAGCCTAATGTTAATCCCCAAGACCCTAGGTAAAATGTCATTAGGCCATGTCAGAGACCTTCATGGCAGCCCCTCTCATCACAGATCTAGAGGCTCAAGAAGAAAAAATGGTTTTGTGGTCCAGGCCCAGGGTCCCATGCTATTTGCAGCCTAGGGACTTGATGCTCTGTGTCCCAGCCGCTCCAGCCACAGCTGAAATATGCCAATATACAGCTCAGGCCATGGCTTCAGAGGGTGGAACCCCCAATCCTTGGCAGCTTCCACATGGTGTTGAGCTTGAGGATGCACAGAAGTCAATAATTGAGGTTTGGGAACCTCTGCCTAGATTTCAGAAGATGTAGGGAAACGCCTGGATGTCCGGGCAAGTTTTTTGCAGGGGTGGTGCCCTCATAGGAAACCTCTACTAGGGCAGTGCAGAAGGGAAATACGGGGTCAGAGCCCCCACACAGAGTCCCTACTGGGGCACTGCCTAGTGGATCTCTGAGAAGAGGACCACTGTCCTCCAGACTCCAGAATAGTAGCTGGGAGGGAGGCTGTACCCTGCAAAGCCACAGGGACAGAGCTGCCCAAGACCACGGAAACCCACCTTTTGCATCAGCATGACCTAGATGTGAGACCTGGAGTCAAATGAGATTATTTTGGAGCTTTAATATTTGACTGCCCTGCTGGATTTTGGACTTGCATAGGCCCTGTAACCCCTTGGTTTTGGCCTATTTCTCCCATTTGGAATGGCTGTATTTACCCAATACCTGTACCCCCATTGTATCTAGGAAGTAACTAGCTTGCTCTTGCTTTTACAGGCTCATAGGCAGAAGGGACTTGCCTTGTATCAGATGAGAATTTGGACTGTGGACTTTTGGGTTAATGCTGAAATAAGACTTTGGGGGACTGTTGGGAAGGCATGATTGGTTTTGAAATGTGAGGACATGATATTTGGAGGGGCCAGGGGTGGAATGATATGGTTTGGCTGTGTCCCTACCAAAATCTCAGTTTGAATTGTATCTCTGAGAATTCCCACGTGTTATTGGAGGGACCCAGGGGGAGGTAATTGAATTATGTGGCCCGGTCTTTCCTGTGCTATTCTTGTGATAGTGAATAAGTATCATGAGATCTGATGGGTTTTTCAGGGGTTTCTGCTTTTGCTTCTTCCTCACTTTTCTCTTGCTGCCACCATGTAAGAAGTGCCTTTCACCTCCCATGATAATTCTGAGGCTTTCCCAGCCGTATGGAAGTGTAAGTCCAATTAAACCTCTTTTTGTTCCCAGTTTTGTTATGTCTTTATCAGCAGTGTGAAAATGAACTAATACACCTATGCTTTCAATACCACCTTCAATGGAATAGTGACAGAGAGAAGAGAGGGACACCTTGTCCAACACTTTGAACCAGATATAGGATAGTCATTTACACGGCAACTTGCTTTTTATGAGGGAAACAAAAATTCTCAAAGAAATTATCTCTTCAAAATCAGTTTATAAACTGCATTTCTTTTTGTTTCTTTTAAACAGATTAATCATTCAAACACAGAGAAAAAAATATCTTTCATGTTTCCTCCACAATCCAGAGGTCAAACTTCAATTGCTTTTATTACTTGTACAAATGTTTAATTTCATAGCACCAAATTTGTCATTATGTACACAATTTACAATAATAATGACAGTTTAAGTCATGTGAGATTTCAGTCTCTACTTAAAAACTCTTACATTTAAAGGGCATAATACTTGTCTCTTAAATTTTAGGACTAACAAGTTCATTTCTGAATCAATGTACTAGAGTCATTGAGTAATACTATCCTTCTCGGAGTCTAAAATTTGAAAGTCAACCAGTAGTAATGATAATGGATGATAAAACTAAACCCACAATTTTCTCTATGATAGATCCACTGAGTGTGTGCAGTTGAGCCCAACCATGCAAGCATTCAGTACATTGCAGGTGACAAAGTACTCGAATTAAAACTACTTCAATCAAAATGATAAAACAGTTTTGTATATTCAAAAGTCAGTTTCTCTGAAGGACCATTAAGGTTAATGGAAACAATACTTTAACATTAAAGAATAATATCTATGAGTTTTGGAAATATACTTTTGATAAGCTCTACCTCAAGAGCCTTATGAAATAAAATGAGAAAATAAATAATGTAAGGTATAATCATATAAATGATGTAAGTAAGTGGAATGCCACTAAACGGTGAATATACGTAAGTCATTAATTCACCAAACCAACTATGAGAGAAAGCAATTAAGGAAATCAAATAATGAAAAGTATATTTTCAGATTCGATTTGAAAAGCAAAATAACAAGTTGACAAGATGTTCTTAAACCTTCCTGGAGTCAACACAGAAATCCTTGTGCATCTACAGGTGGACACATGAATGGCAGAGTCCTTATATGCTCAGAAAATAAATGTAGGAATATTCAGATCTCTGTAACTTAAGACAAAATAGAATATCTCACCTAAAGACTGTAGTAAACCTCAAATTTGTTTCAATCTTATTTTTTTCGTTTTCCTCAACGGCTTTTTTCTTAGCTTGTTCTTTCAGTTTCCCTATGTGTAACATTTCTAATATATCAATCTCTTGCTCACTAAACTGCTTTTACCTTCTTCCTTCCTACTTTTATTATTTTCCTATCTTAAATTCTTCTTCAAGTTGTCAAAGGATAGTATCAAACGAAAAAAGTGTTAAAGTACTACATTTTAATATTGGTTTTAAAATATTTATTTGTTAACAAAATCACATGAAATAATATCAGTTTTGTATTATTAGTCAATTTAATTATTAATAATTGTGTCTTTGCTAAGATAACCCTGGATACAGATAAAATAACTCTCCACATCTTGAATTTTCTGTCAGAAAAACAACATACCTTAAGAATCATATTGTTCAAAATCCCAAGTTTTCAGGTAATAAGTACTATTGGCGTTATTGGTAAATAACCCAAATAAATTCCCAGTTGATATGCCTTCCTTCTGATTACATTTTGGAGAGCAGTTAATTCTTCAAAGAAGGAAACTTAACGAGACATTGTGTGTGTAATGGAAATGTGATGTACATGAGTTTATGCTTACAAAATAATCAATAACTACAATGTAAAATCAGCACTCAATCCTTGTAAGACCACAGTATGAAAATTTCTACTTTCCTTCAAAAAGGGTTTGTAAATGATTTTAAAAGAAGAAACAGCAGCCTCGACTCTTAGAAAACTTAACTAGATAAATTTGCACATTACAAGTCTTAAAACTAGAAACCATATTATTAACTGTGAAACTATATAATTAGTTTCTTTGTGAGCTTTCAATTTTTTGCTAGATAAAATTAAAACTGCCACCAAAAAATGAGGCCATTATGAACATGACAGGTCATTTGTTGAGAAAAGGGTTATGTAGAAATAGCATCTGATAATTTGTTGGAAATATTAGCATATAGATGGCTATGAAATGTGTGAAGTATTATCAGAAGAATTCTAATAAAAAATTTTTGCAGTGTAAGTCGACTATGGTTCTATTTCAAATGTAGTTAGGTTCTTAGCCCTAATGGCAAGCAGAGGCTACACTAAATGTATTTAACCTAAAGACAAGTTGATAAGAAATTTATAATTCCACTGTTTTTTAAAAATTACAAAAGTAAAAGGTATATACACATAACATCTACAGCAACAAAGAATGCAAAAACATTCTTTTCACATAGAAAGAGTTAAATATACATGCTTTCAAGAACAATAGCAGCTTCTCTTAAACTTTCTTAACTTACCTAGTGTTTTCTATCACTAAAAAAGCTGTATGTAAATCATTAAGTTTAGACTACTGAATCTATATCGTTCTTTGTAAACCAGACTCAAAGCATATTTCTTTCTAAGTTAACATGAACATAATAGAACACACAGAAAGAAAAATATAACTGTGAGTTTATATGCAAAGTACTGGACAACTTTCAAATATATACATCCTTCCTTTTTTCTTTAAAATATCTCTCTACACTGATACTTCTGGCAGAAACCTGACAATAGTGGCTACGCTAATCGTAGCATACTATTTAGATGGACAACAGTTAATTCATTTGAGCAAAAGTTTTAGAGATCTGTTTTAGACCTTTAAATCAAACTCCAGATATATACAATAGTATCCCTTATCCACAGTTTTGCTTTCTGCAGTTTCAGTTACCCATGGTCAATAGTGGTCTGCAAATATTAAATTGAAAGCTTCAGAAATAAACAATTCATAAGTTTTAAATTGCACACCATTCTGAGTAGTGTGAAGAAATCTCGAGCCATCCCGTTCCACTCTCACCTGACTGAGACGTGAATTATCCCATTGTCCACCATCTCCACACTGTATACCCTCCCTGTCTGTTAGTCACTCAGTAGCTGTCTTGGTTATCAGATCAATTGTAAGGTAGCTCAGAGCTTGTGTTTAATATGTACCCCTTATTTTACTTCATAATGGCCTCAAAGTGCAAGAGTAATGATGCTTTTATATTGTTATAACTGTTCTATTTTATTATTAGTCATTGTTTTTAGTCTCTTGCTGTGCCTAATTTATAAATTAAATTTTATCATAGGTATGTATGTACAGGAAAAAATATAGTATATATAGGGTTCTGTACTATCTGTGGTTCTGTGGTTTCAGGCACCCACTGGGGATCTTGGAACGTAGCCGCCACAGATAATGGGAGACCAAACACAAAGTTAACAAAGTTAACAAGGAAATGGTAACACTTCCAGTACGGGAAAAAAAAAAAAAAACCTATTTAGAGATTTTTAAGTGACTCATTCAACACACTTGCCCAGAAGGCACTAATATAGAATTTGTAGATTTTAAAAATACAGTATGGGCAGGCAACGCGCTGAGGGACTAGGCAGAGCCGTGGAACCGCCGCCAGGTCGCTGTCGGTCCACGCCGCCCGTCGCGCTGCCCGCCCGCTCGGCGTCGGCCGCCGCCATGGGAGTGCACGTGGAAACCATCTCCCCAGGAGACTGGCGCACCTTCCCGAAGCGCAGCCAGACCTGCGTGATGCACTACACCGGGATGCTTGAAGATGGAAAGAAATTTGATTCCTCCCGGGACAGAAACAAGCCCTTTAAGTTTATGCTAGGCAAGCAGGAGGTGATCCGAGGCTGGGAAGAAGGGGTTGTCCAGATGAGTGTGGGTCAGAGAGCCAAACTGACTATATCTCCAGATTATGCCTATGGTGCCACTGGGCACCCAGGCATCATCCCACCACATGCCACTCTCGTCTTCGATGTGGAGCTTCTAAAACTGGAATGACAGGAATGGCCTCCTCCCTTAGCTCCCTGTTCTTGGATCTGCCATGGAGGGATCTGGTGCCTCCAGACGTGTGCACATAAATCCATATGGAGCTTTTCCTGATGTTCCACTCCACTTTGTATAGACATCTGCCCCAACTGAATGTGTTCTGTCACTCAGCTTTGCTTCCGACACCTCTGTTTCCTCTTCCCCTTTCTCCTGGTATGTGCGTTTACCTAAACTATATGCCATAAACGTCAAGTTATTCATTTTACTTTTTCATTTTGGGGTGAAGATTCAGTTTCAGTCTTTTGAATATAGGTTTCCAATTAAGTACATGGTCAAGTGTTAACAGCACAAGTGATAAGTTAACGTTAGGATAGGAATTGGTGTTGAGGGGGTTGCAAGAATATTTTATTTTAATTTTTTGGATGAAATTTTTATCTATTATATATTAAACATTCTTGCTGCTGCGCTGCAAAACCATAGCAGATTTGAGGCACTGTTGAGGACTGAATTATTCTCCAAGTTGAGAGATGTCCTTGGGTTAAATTAAAAGCCCTACCTAAAACTGAGGTGGGGATGGGGAGAGGCTTTGCCTCCACCATTCCCACCCCACCCTCCCCTTAAACCCTCTGCCTTTGAAAGCAGGTCATGTTCACTGCGATGCTGGACACTACAGGTATCTGTCCCTGGGCCAGCAGGGACCTCTGAAGCCTTCTTTGTGGCCTTATTTTTTTTTTTTTTTTTTTCATCCTGTGGTTTTTCTAACGGACTTTCAGGAATTTTGTAATCTCATAACTTTCCAAGCTCCACCACTTCCTAAATCTTAAGAACTTTAATTGACAGTTTCAATTGAAGGTGCTGTTTGTAGACTTAACACCCAGTGAAAGCCCAGCCATCATGACAAATCCTTGAATGTTCTCTTAAGAAAATGATGCTGGTCATCCCAGCTTCAGCATCTCCTGTTTTTTGATGCTTGGCTCCCTCTGCTGATCTCAGAGTTTCCTGGCTTTTCCTCCCTCAGCCACTTCTCACCCCTTTGCTGTCCTGTGTAGTGATTTGGTGAGAGGAATCGTTGCTGCCCCCTTCCCCTAGCACCATATATGAGTCTCAAGTTTTATTATTGCAATAAAAGTGCTTTATGCTGGCTTTTCTCAAAAAATAAATAAATAAATAAATAAATAAAATAAAAATACAGTATGCACCTGTTCACCAAAAATCTATGGAAATAAAAAAATTAAATAAATAACTAAATATAAATAAAAATATGGTATGGAACCAGCCTAATTACTCATAGAACTGCTGTTTATGGTTTCTTTTGAATAAACATAAAAATTGAGACTCCCATCTTAAAACTTGAGAAAGTTACATTTGTCTTATCTGGGTTCCTTTCTCAGGAAACCACACATCAGGCCTTCCAGACAGTATCAAGGAAAGGAAACTTACGAGATCACCACATCTGGACAATAAGATGAAAGACTCCTCACCTATCATGATCGCATAAGTGACCACCTGCTTCCTGTTGACCAACTCCTCTTCTTTACCCCTCCCTAATTCCTGTTTTCCCACACATAGTTACATTTCTTCCCTGCTATACAAACCCTTAGTTTTAGTTGGTTGAGGTGACTAATTTAAGGCTCATCTCCCATTCTCCTCAGCTGTAGCACCCAAATAAAGCCTTCTTCCCTGGAAATTCTCATTGTCTCAGTGATTGGCTTTCAGGGTGGTGAGCTGCAGGACCTAGACCAAAACCCTGGCATTTTTATAACAGTATGAATTTTCAGTTGTACAATTCTTATAATGAAGAGTAGTAATGTAACTTATAGGTGACTTGGATTAAAACTATTGACCGGACTTTTTAGTTTCAATTACTTAACACTCTAAATCCTAGTATATTTAAATGTAAATTAAATGCTTGCAGCTAAAAACGCATCTTAATTCATATTATAGCAGCTTCAGGTTATGCTTTATTGATCTCCATCCTTTAGTATTTGTATGCAACTATAAGATAAATTTTAAAATTGTGAAATAATTAAGGGCAAATGAGACAAACTGTTTGTTCCTGCCCCCAAAAAATCTACACTTCTCTTTTTTCTTTTCTTTCTTTCTTTCTTTCTTTTTTTTTTTTTTTTTTTTTTTGAGATGGAGTTTCACTCTTATTGCCCAGGCTGGAGTGCAATGACATGATCTCGGCTCACCGCAACCTCCACCTCCTGGGTTCAAGCAATTCTCCTGCCTCAGCCTCTCAAGTAGCTGGGATTACAGGCATGCGCCACCACACCTGGATAATTTTGTATTTTTAGTAGAGATGGGGTTTCTCCATCTTGGTCAGGCTGTTCTCGAATACCCGACCCCAGGTGATCCACCAACCTCGGCCTACCAAAGTGCTGGGATTACAGGAGTGCGACACTGTGCCTGGCCCTCTTTTTTTCTTTTGTAATAACATTTCAACAATGCACATAGCCACCCAGATTATATTACCTGGCTTCTCTCAGAGGTATGGCTAGCCATGTATCCTATTTCTTACCAGTGAACTGTGCGAGAGAGAAATGCACGCTTCCCGCATCTTGCACTTGCCTTAAAGAAAGATCACTTTCCCTTCCCTTCCCCTCTCCTTTTCTTTCCAGTTGTAAATGGTGCAGTAACATTGAAACCCTCGTTATGCAAGAGCAACCAAGTCAGCCTGAAACCTTGGCTTACCTCAAGAAGTAGAGCCCACATGCCCACTGACTGCTAAAAGGAATAATGTGCTTTCTGGTTTGAGCCTTTTCATTTTGGGACCTCTTTGTTATCATAGTTTAGCCTATCTCTAATCTATGTCATCCAATTATATATAGTATTTTTTAAATTATTGTAAAAATTTAAGTTCTGAGTATTAAAAAATATGTTGTTCTCCACTCTTTGTTACTGAAGCAGAAGTTAAAAGAGAAAAACAAGTTTTCCTGTACTTGGCTGACTCACTCCAAGGCCAGCAATAGGCAGGGCCCTGGCCGAGATGTGATAACAGTATCTAGGAAGCCAGAGTCCACAGGAATGAGCCCCAGAGACCTCCCAACGCCCCCCTCAGAGCAAGGACAAGAAAACCAATTCCTTTGCTATCTCTTCATCTCCTTACTGTTTCTCAATTTCCCAACTTTTGTAAGTTCCTGTTTTTCTTTCAATGCAGCTACAAGGTCACAAGCTTAACCCTGTCACTGTTTGATTAACTGTGTTTGTTCTGCTTCTGTAAGCCCACTTGCCTGCACCATGAGTTTCATGCCATTAGACTCCCGCCACCCCAATCAAACTAGCCAGCCCCTTTCAGGAGTATGTATAAAAGTCAAGCCCTGTCTTTGTTCAGGGCTCAGCTTTTGGATGTGAATCTTCTGGGCCAGTGGCCACTTAAATAAAATCCTCCTGTTTCACCCATTGGTCTCTCTGGTCCTTCTGATTCCTGCAACATTACAAATTCACTTGTAAGGCTACACATTTATATTTCACTATTATTCACCATGATTGTACAATTTTCATAACAAGACTATTTCAGATTTCAAAATTATGAGCCTCATTTCAAGAAAAAATTTAATTGATTATGTTTAAAAGCAAAAGATTCTTCCTGAATCTGTGGCCAAAAAAGTTCTATTTTCTCATTTCTAATCTTCAGTTAGAATATAGAGTAGCATGATAAATAGATAAATATTCTTGTATGAATTATGCATAAAGAGGAAAAGAAAGAAAAGGCAAGGAACAATTGCCCTTTCAATTTAAGAAGTGTTAGTAAGTGTTGCTGAGCTGATGGAGCACTTTGGTGCAAAGCCCTTGAGCCTTAGTTGATGGTCTACATGAACCGCATGATCTCAAGAAGAGTAAAAATATATATCTGGTATCAAAGGTAAAGAACTCAGGTAGCTCCCCTGAGAGACTACTGCTTTGCCATGTGAATGCAGCTAAAATCATCTTAATAATCCCCCTCCCACATCCATCACCCTCCAGCCCCCAGCACTTTGCTCTGTGTGACTGTTAGAAGACCCTAAGCTAATTCTTACAAGTCAAATTTTTAAAAAATATATAATAATTGACTATTATTTCTTTAAAAAGAAAAGACACAAATATGTGTACTTGTTAAAATAAACTATATAGATATGTAAATAAAAAATGGTAAGAAACAGAATGAACTCATTTTTACATGACATTCTCTATGGAGGTTATACCATGATCTTTCAGTAGCCACAATTTATAATATTAAATTACAGGGACATACTTGAGCATTTGCCCCTAACAAACTTAACAATTGTATACTGAGACGTAAATTCAAGTTAGTCACTTGCGTAATTTTGGGAAAATTAGAAATCCCTTCAGATCCTCAATATAGGAAGAATGGAGGGGATTGCTTTAAAGTTGAAATTTGTAAAGTAGTTAGTGTAAGTCTTAGCATATAGTATACACAGCACATCTTGGTGATTATTTTAGTTGCACAAATTGGAACATGGTTCTTACATTGTCTTGAACTTTGTTCTTTTTCCTCCCAACAATATACCATGAAGATATTTCCAAATCAGCACAAATATATTTGCTTCATCTTTTTGTGTGAATCCATG